>NT_187525.1:0-136240 GCF_000001405.40 Homo sapiens
GTGCGTGTGTGTATGTCTGTATATGTGTGTGCATGTGCGTGTGTTTTTTGTGGCCGTCTGTAAGGTTTGTGGGCCAAGCCTGGGTGAAAGCCCGAGAGGGAGTGTGGTTTCCTCTTTGGGACTACGTCTTCAGGATGGCAGAGTCTGGCAAAGTTTGCCGTGGGTTCGTCTATATTTATTACGCGTAGGAAAGTACTCGTGCAAAGCGTCAAAGGGAGATGTCAGATAACTCAGAACCTTCACTCCTCACAAAGAACCCAAACTCTCCTTCAACTGTATCCATTGCCTTTTTATTTTACGTTCGTAAGGATTCATCAACTTAACAACACAAAAACACAATAAAAGATGATTCAACATTTGAAGGCATTTTGAATTTGTGTGCTATGGCATAGCTAAAAGGTAGTTTTAAGAGAGCATCCAAAGAGGCAGAAAGTGCTCCAGATTTATTTGGATGGAAAATAGAACACACTTGATTTGATTTCAAAATGTAGTTTTCTGTCCATAAAGATAGCTGGCACCAGAATGAGTTCTAGAAAGTGACTGTGAGGGGATCTGGTCAGAGGGTGAAGCGATTCGTAAAGGGGAGTGATGGCAAATGTGAGCTTTCTGTATCTGCAAGAGAAAGATGCTATTGGATTGTTAAATTTGCATGTGAATAGGGATGTAAATAGGTTCTTATAATGACAATCGACGGGGGCAGAGTTGTTAAATTGAAGTTCATTTCTTTGGACAATCAGGGACCTTCTGAGGAGACTTCTTCAGATCCCTTCCAAGCCTATAATTACATAATGTGAAAATAATGGCCGTTGATGGGAAAACCGTGGATTTAATGACAGGCAATTTTCTGTCTCTGTTGTCTTTTGCAAAGGCGATGATTTTCTCTTTCCTGGAGGAAGGAAGCGAGGGCCGGTCTTTGCATTGACTCAGGCCCTTTGAGGTGTGCAGGGGGCTCCTCACCATCCACAGCAGGAGAAACTACCACGGATGTAAAAGCCTGCTCCTCACAAAAATTACACCCTATTTTACAAGTGTATACTTAAAATGTCAGTTAACTGAACTCTGTGGGGAGCGTGGACAGATAAACAGAAGAATTTGACCCACACTTTCAGGCAGGGAAACAAGAGGCTTAATTTTCTTTTTTCTATGTCTGTTCAGTTTTAAAGAGAAATTATTTTTTCCTCAAACTGCTATGAAACCTAATTTGAAGGCATTTAAAAAAATTGTTATCTGTTATTGGATTTGGTATACAATTCTGCTTACTCTATAAGAACATAAAGAAATCTAAAGAAACTAAAGAACTCTAGGCCGGGCGCAGTGGCTCACGCCTGTAATCCCAGCACTTTGGGAAGCCGAGGCAGGCGGATCACGAGGTCAGGAGATCGAGACCATCCTGGCTAACACGGTGAAACCCCGTCTCTACTAAAAAAAACACACACAAAAAAAATTAGCGAGGCGTTGTGGCCGGCACCTGTATTCCCAGCTACTCGGGAGGCTGAGGCAGGAGAATGGCGTGAACCCGGGAGGCGGAGCTTGCTGAGATCACGCCACTGCGCTCCAGCCTGGGCGACAGAGCGAGACTGTGTCTCAAAAAAAAAAAAAAAAAAAAAAAAGAACCTAAAGAACTCTAAAGAGAAAAGGACCACCTTTGCAAAAGGCAGCACAGACATAAAATTGCCTGTCATTAAAGGCACGGATTTTCCATCAACGGCCATTATTTTCACATTATAGAGTCATAGCCGTGGAAGGTGTCTGAAGCAGTTTCCTCAGAAAGTTCCTGACTTCCCCTAGAAATGAACTTCTTCAACTTTGCAATTTATATTTGCATAAAAATTTCTACAGCCATTCAATTTGCAAAATATATGGATCTATCAACTGTAAAATAGTTCTTAAGTGTATTCTTTTTGGGTATTTGAATCTGGTGGATATATGGTTTTATGTCTCAGTACAAATCCATCATTCCAATATTAGTCTTCAGCTTTAATTATTCAACTGTGGAATTCTGATCACTGATTTCTCCGAGGAAGTTTTAAAAGTGAATAGTCCATCTTTAATTATATAATATTTCTTCCAAATAATAGAATTTATGTGACTAGAATCTCCCCATCAAGTTTTAGACACGTACGATGACGCATTTTTACTCACAAATTAATAGCACCGCCATTGGCAGGAAACATGGAGCCGCCGTCAGGCCTTGGCGTAGCTGGATGGCGGTGTCCCGGAGAAGTTGCAGGGATGTGGCTGAGCCCAGCTCCCAGCCACAGAGGTGGGTGTTGCTGAGCCCGGGGAGCCCCCAGACAGTGCAAGATGTTAGGGTGGTCGGGGTGCTAAAGCCACTCCCGTTGCCAACTGCGGCTCCAGGTCATGCCCCACCCCTCACTGTGATGGGATAGGCTGGGGCCCTTCATGATGGACGGAACATACGTTTCCGGACCCCAAAATCACTCAGCAAAGGTAAGTCAAGCTGGAAACTGCGTCAGGCAAACCTGCTTCCCATTTTATTTCTAAATAAAATAGCTGCAAAGATTTAAAAAAACCCTACATACCTCTCACAATTTGCCCACTAGGAAATCCCTTGCGGAATGTCCCCCTCCCCTTGTGGAGTTGTCCGGACCGAACCAATGTTCCTCTTACACATATGGGTCGATGCCTCACGTCTCCCTAACGTGTAAAACTGAGCTGTGCCCGGCCACCTTGGGCACACGTCCTCAGGACCTCCCGAGGCTGTCACGGGCCTGTCCTTAACTTGGCAAAGTAACCTTTCCAAATTCGTTGAGACCTGTCTTCGATATTTTGGGTTCACAATAAGAATTTGGGGGACGGCTCCCAGGTCCTTGAGAAAAGCAGTCCTGGGCCCAGTGCGGAGGCCGGGAGGATTCACTTCCCTAAGGGGCAGAAAGCATTTACAGCCGGGGGTGCTCTGGGGTTGATGTCCTGAGAATAGGAGGTCTGGGGGGCCCAGGTCGGGTGACCCTGCTGGGGTTTGGTGGAGTTCCGGAGCCCTGGCCACCCAGGCTGGGGCCCAGGGAGCTTGTCCTGTGATGGTGAGAGTATGTCAGCTATGGTGTCCTTCACACAGGGGCCCCCACAGGCTGTGGTTAGGTGTTTTCTGAGCGCTCTGGGTTTTGGCTGTGGACTGGAATCATGGCACAGGGGGAGTCACGGCACGGGGGGAGTCACGGCACGGGGGGGAGTCACGGCACGGGGGGGGGGTCACGGCACAGGGGGAATCACGGCACAGGGGGAGTCACGGCACGGGGGGAGTCACGGTACGGGGGGAGTCACGGCACGGGGGGAGTCACGGCACGGGGGGAGTCACGGCACGGGGGGAGTCACGGCACGGGGGGGTCACGGCACGGGGGAGTCACGGCACGGGGGGAGTCACGGCACGGGGGGAATCACGGCACGGGGGGAGTCACGGCACAGGGGGAGTCACGGCCCGGGGGGGTCACGGCCCGGGGGGAGTCACGGCACAGGGGGAGTCACGGCACAGGGGGGGTCACGGCACGGGGGGAGTCACGGCACGGGGGGAGTCACGGCACGGGGGGGTCACGGCACGGGGGAGTCACGGCACGGGGGGAGTCACGGTACGGGGGGAGTCACGGCACGGGGGGAATCACGGCACGGGGGGAGTCACGGCACAGGGGGAGTCACGGCCCGGGGGGGTCACGGCACGGGGGGAGTCACGGCACGGGGGGGTCACGGCACGGGGGAGTCACGGCACGGGGGGAGTCACGGCACGGGGGGAATCACGGCACGGGGGGAGTCACGGCACAGGGGGAGTCACGGCCCGGGGGGGTCACGGCCCGGGGGGAGTCACGGCACGGGGGGAGTCACGGCACGGGGGGAGTCACGGCACGGGGGGAGTCACGGCACGGGGGGGTCACGGCACGGGGGAGTCACGGCACGGGGGGAGTCACGGCACGGGGGGGGTCACGGCACGGGGGGAGTCACGGCACAGGGGGAGTCACGGCCCGGGGGGGTCACGGCCCGGGGGGGTCACGGCCCGGGGGGAGTCACGGCACAGGGGGAGTCACGGCACAGGGGGGGTCACGGCACGGGGGGGTCACGGCACGGGGGGAGTCACGGCACGGGGGGGGTCACGGCACGGGGGGAGTCACGGCACGGGGGGGGTCACGGCACGGGGGGGGTCACGGCACGGGGGGAGTCACGGCACGGGGGGAGTCACGGCACGGGGGAGTCACGGCGCGGGGAAGTCACGGCACAGGGGGCACCAGGAGCTGCTCTCCAGGGACTCTCTGCTGCCCTTGCTCAGGGAAGGGGCTTGCGGGGACATGGAGGGAGGGCGCCAGGCGGGGCCACAGCCAACTGGGCATCCGGGACCTTCTGGTCTGCCTCATGCCTTGAGGCCAGTGGTGGGTTCCTCAGAGGCTCCCAGAGCTCCCACATGGGTGATCCTTGGGAGCAAATCTCGGAGCCTCAGCCACCCCCTCACCCGCTTCTCCCACGCCCCCTGAACCCATATTCCTTCTACGAAAACCCCATGACTGTTGTGATGTTCACAGTGGCTTTGTTTAGCCAGAAAACCCAGAGTGATGCAGACAGTACACAGAGGTAGCGAAATCAGTACATAGATTCATATTATTTGTGATTTATTGTTCCAACCCCTAAAATAACCTCAAAGACAATGGGGCAGGCAGATCATTGCCACCCCACACATGCCCTTCTCTGGATGGTTGGCAGCTGTGTTTGTGTGGGTTTGTGCAGAGGAGCTGAGGCTGCGGATGGAGGGAGTGGAGGTTGCTCCTCAACATGCTTGATGTAGGGGAGACCACACTGGGTTGTCCACATGGACCCAGCGCAGCCACAGGACCCTGCAGCCACACGGGGAGCGTAGGGGCGCTCAGGGGCTGCTGGAGCTGGAGGAGAGGCGGGAGCCCAGGATGGTGAACGCCTTGGGAAGCTGGAAACCCTGAGAAGCAGCTTCTGCCCAGAGCCCAGAAGGGAACGCAGCTTCACAGTGCTGGACTTTAGCCCCCAGGAGCTGCATCAGGCTTCCAACCTACTGAGCAGAAAGATGATAGATTTGTGTTGCTGCAAATCACAGTGTGTGGTGATTTGTCACAGCAACCATAGAAAACGAATGCAGATGGATGGTCTGCTGGTTTTAAATTTTCACTGTAGCGTGGCCATGGTTTGAATGTCTGTCCACTCCAAAGATCTCGTGGAAACTTAATCCCCAGCATGGCAGCATTGAGGGAGGACTTTAAGAGGTGACTGCATCCTGGAAGCTCATGAATGGATTCCTCCATCCATGTAAGGGAGGAGACCACCCCCCATATTGTCTTATGCCTAGTTTCTGCCTCCAAAGAAAGAAGTAAAAACTAAAAGGCAGAAATGAAATCCACACACAGACAGCCCGGCGCTGCGCCCTGGGCCTGGTTAAAGATCGACCCCTGACCTAATCGGTTATGTTATCTATAGATTCCAGACATTGTATGGAAAAGCATTGTGAAAATCCCTGTCCTGTTCTGTTCTGTTCTGTTCTGTTCTGATTACCAGTGCATGCAGCCCCCAGTCCTGTACCCTCTCCTTGCTCAACTGATCATGACCCTCTCATGCGGCCTCCCTTAGTGTTGTAAGCCCCTAAAAGGGACAGGAATTGCTCACTCAGGGAGCTCGGTTGTTGGAGACGTGAGTCTTGCCAAAGCTCCCAGCCAAATAAAACCCTTCCTTCTTTAACTCGGTGTCTGAGGGGTTTTGTCTGTGGCTTGTCCTGCCACACATGGACTCATGGACTAATGGGTTGCCATGGAAGAGGGACTGGTGGCTTTCCAGGAGGAGGAAGAGAGACCTGAGTGAGCACTTAGCATTCAGCCCGTGACCATGCAATTCCCGCGCCGCCTCTGACTTGGCAAAGCCTCCATCAGCACACAGTTCCTCAATACATGCAGACCCCAACCTTGGACTCCTCAGCCTCCGTAGGTGTAAGAAACAAATTCCTTTTTAAAAAAATTACCCAGCTTCAAATATTCTGTTATAAGCAACAGAAAATGAACCAAGAGTATAGTTAGAATCGGTTTGTATATGCCGTGATGTTTTAGTTGTAAAAGGAAAATTGATTACATTATTGACAGCAGTAACACAGCATGTATGTAAGGTCTTATATCAACACCCTTATTCTGCATTATATTTTCTGTGATTGTTGCAATTTTTTTGTCTTTTGATTCTTGGAATGAGCTTTCTTTTGTGTGTGAGGACTGTTTTCTTATTCCCATCCACAACCTGGAGCTCCAAGTGCTGGACTCTCTGCCCAGCTGGGCCCAGGATGCTCTGACTTTTGTAGCAGCTGCCTGGGGATGTGCTTTGATTTCACTGTGTTCCCTGAATTTTGTGTTAGAAATTTAACCCCTAAGTCACATGTTAATGATATTTGGAGGTGGGGCCTTTGAGAGGGAACTGGGACTCCATGAGGTCATCAAGGTGGGGCCCCCCCGAAGGGGCTGGTGGCTCTGGAAGTGAGGAAGGGCACATCTCATGGCTCCTGCCAGGCCATGGCACAGCAGGAAGGCCCTCCCAAGATGCTGGCATCTCCCTCTCAGATGTCTCAGCCTCCAGAGTGTGAAGGTACCTCAATTCTGTATAAATTACCCAAACTGCAGCATTCAGTCATAGCAACAGAATGTGGACTAAGACAAGACAGGGGGTTGGCAAACACGACCTTTTGTAAAATGTGCACAACACATTGTAAATATTTATGGCAAGCAGAATCGTTTTATGATAACAGAACCGTTGGTCATTTGTGCTGGAGACTGTGTGAATTGGACACATTCCTCTCACTGGGAGAGTTAGGAAGCTTCTGCTTAAAATCCCACCTGAGCCTGTGAGTCTTTGCCCTGCAGTCATTGCTAGCAGCTGAGGGAAACCATGGCTTTAATGACCCACAACCTGGCATGTCTTTGTCTTTTCCAAAAGAGGCCCTGGGCTGGCTTCCCCCTTGGTTCCTGAGGGGTTGACCTCATGGCTTGGAACTGCAGGAGAGGCAGGAGTGGGCCCCTGGGAGGTGAATCAGGGAGCTTGTTTCACACCTCCCCACCAGTGACTCCCCTGGATTCCCCCATGAGACCACGTGTTCATCCCGTCTCATCAGCTGCAGAGCTGGGGCTCAGCGACCTGTTCTGGTTTGCACTTTCCACCTCCAGGGGCCTCACTTCCCCTGAACTGTTCTGGTTTGCACTTTCAAACTCCGGGGGCCTCACTTCCACTTACCTCATCCTACTTTTTTGGGATTGCACCCCCAATACAAAGTCAGCAAATCCGCTGAGCTCCAGAGAACTCAGGATAATTTACTGTCTTTCTGTCTACCTATCTATCTTAATATCTATCCATCATCTTTCTATGGATTTATTTATCATCTAGCTTTCTATTTATTATTTACCTATCATCTATCAATCTTTCTTTCACCTATTTATCCATCTATCATTTATCTATATGGTATATATCTATTAATCATCTATTTATTCATTTATTATCTATCTAGCCATCATCTATCATTTATCGATTATCCATCTATCTATCTATCTATCTATCTATCTATCTATCCATCATCTACCTACCTATTCATCCTTAAACAATGTATTGCTCATTTTGCTGTTTATGTTGAGGCACAAAAGTATAGTTCTCTTTTTTTATGTGTTTATAACATTATTTAGCATAAAATACCCAAGATGTTATCCATTCTACAAGTGATTGAAGGCCTCCCCAACACTGGATTATTAAAAGCAGCGCAGCTGTAAACATTCCTGAGCCATGTCTGGGGCACACATGCAAGGGTGTGTCTAGGGTTTGTATCTGCAAGTGAGTTTCTTGAGTCTTAGGAGATGCACCTGTCCACTTTAGTAAATAACCGAATCACACCTTCCCAGAGTCCCTGCCCCAGGAGAGCTTGAGGCTCCCTTTCCTCCACTTCCTCGCCAATGCACACTGTGGGCAGGAGGTTTAATGTCTGATGCGGGGGAAATAGCTTTTTTGGTTTTAGTTGGCATTTTTCTGGTTGCAATGTCATTGAACATCTTTTCAAACACTTATTGGCCTCTGTTTCCTTGTATCTGGAATGTATGCACATGCATGTCTGTATATTTGTGTGTATATGGGTGTACACACACAGTGCTGTGTTTCTATTCCAGATTAACTCCCAGTAATTATTTTTATATTCTCAACAGTAATGCTTTGTCAGTTATATGTCATGCACTTATCTTCTTCAATCTGCAGCTCAAATATTTCTTCTAATGGTGTTTTCTGATTAATAGAATTTTCTATTTTTAATGTGCTAAGTCAGCAAGCTCTTAATGCATGACTCATGCTTTTTTATTTGAAGAAATATGTTTCTATCCTCAGCTCATAAAGATATTTTCATACTTTCTTGCAGATATTTTAGGTTTCCTTTCAAATTAAAATGCCTATTATATGTGGAATAAATAAATGCAAGATAAGATGTAGGAATCCAAGTTAATTTTTTTCAATATTGATAACCAGGCATTCCAGCACTGTTCACTGCAGGAACCTCTTTCACTCACTGATATACAATAATATGTCTGTGCTACATTGTTTGAATGTATGAGATGCTCAATTCCTAGTGTTCTATTCTGTGTTCTCTAATCTGTTTGTTTCCCCTCGTGCTGTGACTAGGCAATAGTGATTTTCTATTACTTGATACCTGGCAAAGTAGTTTCCTAACCTTGTTCTTCTGAGATACGCCGGGGCAGGTTTTGATCCTTTACTCTCACACACAAATCGTAGAATCAATTTATCTAGTTCCATTATAAATCCTTTTGGAGTTCTTGAATTGTTGTTTTTATATATCATTATGGAGAAATGAAATTTCATGCTGTTAAATATTCATATCTATCAACTTATTGCCCAGGCAGGTGTGCAATGGTGCAATCTTGGCTCAAACGCAACCTCTGCCTCCCGAGTTCAAGCGATTCTCCTGCCTCAGACTTCCACGTAGCTGGAATTACAGGCATGTGCCACCATGCCTGGCTAATTTTTTATTTTTAGAAGAGACAGGGTTTCTCCATGTTGGTCAGGCTGGTCTCAAACTCCCAACCTCAAGTAATCCACTCGCCTCAGCCTCCCAAGTAGCTGGGATTACAGACGTGAGCCACTGTGCCGGGCCTTATCTTTCCACATTCTTAAAAAATGTCTCAAGTAAAAGTCTTATTCTATTTAAAACCATTCATGTTATTTCTGTTTAGATTTGTTTTAGGAGCTTTAGAAATTTTATTTGAGGTTAACTGAAGATATAATTCGTTATATACTCCCTTTAGACCAGAGAAAGAAAAAATGGTTAAGACATTTTAAAAATACTATATGTAAATACTATGTGAAAATTAGCTAATGTATGAACTTAGTTATAGAAATGCAAGTATACTCTGTAGATGAGATGTCCAATTTTCTAATATTTGAATTATCTAGATAATTTCATGTATTCTACCCCGATATGAATTACTTGTTTTGTATTTTGTTACTTTAAAATCTATTCATGTGTTATAGCACTAGTTGGTGATTTTCTAAAGTAGTCATTAATTTGTAACCAATTTATCTGTATCAATTTAGGAATGTGTTGAAATATCAGAAAAGGAAATCTGCTGTGTTTAAATGCTGTATGTCTTGGATCAAAGATTTACAATTTAACTGTACTATATATTCACACATATAATTAGAAATAATGGAAATAGTATAGAATTAACTTATTTCTATCTTATCATCAACTGAACCATTGTTTTTAAATGTCAGGTTTTACTAATAATTTCTATTTTCTTTTGTGTAGTCTGTAAACATCCTGCATATTTCAAGAGTAATAGAAACATCAAGTTTGCTGCCTGGCCTCAGGGCTGGGGCAGGGCAGGTGTTTTTACAGACGCCTCCTACGTCTGTGGTGAATCTCTCAGGCATTTGCTTGGTTACTATAAACCTTCGGTGTTTCTAGAGTTCTGACAAAGTTGATTCTGACCGTTTTGCTCAGTTTTTTCAGTGATTCTGTGAAGGGACAGACCTTGGATTTTCCTCTCTGCTATTTTTGCAGACATCAGTGATTCTGTTGATCTTTGGTCATTACACAGTCCTTATTTTCCGGAATACACAGCCTGATCACAGTGTGTTATTCTGATTTAAAATTTCACTGTATGGTGATTTGTTAAACTGTTTAGCTATTTTTACATTTCTTGGGAAATTTTGGAAAATTTCCCCCAAAAAACAACTTTTTGGGGAAAAATTAAATGATAATTCTTTCTTGTAGTGAACTCCAGGTTTCAGCATCCATGCTATTCTCTCCCCAAAACATTAGGTGAGAATCGTTTCCTCTTTTCCTATCCTGGGAAGATGAGATGTGAGTTGAGCCCTATTTCTTTTACACACTTAGCACAATTTTTCATGAAAGCCATTTAGACCTGGATTTTCTTTACCGCTAGGCTTCTAATTATGTTTTGCTTATAATTTACATTATTTTAAATTAACAAATCATAATTGTATGATATTTATGGAGCACAATGCGATGCTATGACGTATGTTTTCAGTGTAGAAGGATTAACTCAAGCCAATCACACACTGCGCCTCACATACTTGCTGTTTTGGGGCCATAGACTTGAAATGTGTCCTCTTAGTGCCTGTGACATACACGTGCGTCATTGCTGTGCAGGAGGCAGGGGAATGGGGGGCCAGGGAGTGGGGAGCTGCAGTCACAGGACCCAAAGTGACAGGTGCATGGAGGAATGAGCTTTTTATTTATTCATGACTTTCATGTCCCCATGCAGCAGTCACAGAAAAAAAAAAACATGTAAGTAAGAAAAATTTTGAATGTAAACTAGAGAGTAGTTAGTGGCCCTATTGTAGACTAAATAATGGCCTCCTACAGATACCCATGTTGCAGTCGGCGGAGCCTGTGAATGTCCCTTCCACGGACCCTGCAGGTGGGCTCAGCGAAGGGCCTGAAGATGGGAGCTGACTGTCCTGGGGGGTCCACTGGAATCGCAGAGGGCCTCGTCAGAGGGAGGCAGAGATCGGAGTGAACCAGCCGCAAGCCAAGCACTGCGGGCACCAGGAAAGCTGGAGAGGCAGCGAGGATCTTCCCTTAGAGCCTGGCCAGGGAAGGCGGCCCAGCCAGGAGAGCTGGGGAGGCAGCGAGGATCTTGCGTTAGAGCCTGGCGAGGGGGCGCGGCCCAGCCAGGAGAGCTGGAGAGGCAGCGAAGATCTTCCGTCAGAGCCTAGCGAGGGGTCGTGGCCCAGCCAGGAGGGCTGGAGAGGCAGCGAGGATCTTGCGTTAGAGCCTGGCGAGGGGGCGCGGCCCAGCCAGGAGAGCTGGAGAGGCAGCGAAGATCTTCCGTCAGAGCCTAGCGAGGGGTCGTGGCCCAGCCAGGAGGGCTGGAGAGGCAGCGAGGATCTTCTCTCAGAGCCTGGCGAGGGGACGCGGCCCAACCAGGAGAGCTGGAGAGGCAGCGAGGATCTTGGGTTAGAGCCTAGTGAGGGGGCGCGGCCCAGCCAGGAAGGCAGCCAGGATCTTCCCTCAGAGCCTAGCGAGGGGGCGCGGCCCAGCCAGGAGAGCTGGAGAGGCAGCGAGGATCTTCCCTCAGAGCCTAGCGAGGGGTCGTGGCCCAGCCAGGAGAGCTGGAGAGGCAGCGAGGATCTTCCCTCAGAGCCTGGCGAGTGAGCGCGGCCCAGCCAGGAGAGCTGGAGAGGCAGTGAAGATCTTCCCTCAGAGCCTGGCGAGGGGGCGGGGCCCAGCCAAGACAGCTGGAGAGGCAGCGAGGATCTTCGCTCAGAGCCTGGCGAGGGGGCGCGGCCCAGCCAGGAGAGCTGGAGAGGCCCGGAGGATCTTCCCTCAGAGCCTAGCGAGGGAGCGCGGCCCAGCCAGGAGAGCTGGAGAGGCAGCCAGGATCTTCCCTCAGAGCCTGGCGAGTGAGGGCGGCCCAGCCAGGAGAGCTGGAGAGGCAGCCAGGATCTTCCCTCAGAGCCTAGCTAGGGGGCGCGGCCCAGCCAGGAGGGCTGGAGAGGCAGCGAGGATCTTCCCTCAGAGCCTGGCGAGGGGGCGTGGCCTAGCCAGGAGAGCTGGAGAGGCAGCGAGGATCTTCCGTTAGAGCCCAGCGAGGGGGCGTGGCCCAGCCAGGAGGGCTGGAGAGGCAGCGAGGATCTTCCGTTAGAGCCCAGCGAGGGGGCGTGGCCCAGCCAGGAGGGCTGGAGAGGCAGCGAGGATCTTCCCTCAGAGCCTAGAGAGGGGGCGTGGCCCAGCCAGGAGAGCTGGAGAGGCCCGGAGGATCTTCCCTCAGAGCCTAGCGAGGGAGCGCGGCCCAGCCAGGACGGCTGGAGAGGCAGCCAGGATCTTCCCTCAGAGCCTGGCGAGTCAGCGCGGCCCAGCCAGGAGAGCTGGAGAGGCAGCGAGGATCTTCCCTCAGAGCCTATCTAGGGGGCGCGGCCCAGCCAGGAGAGCTGGAGAGGCAGCGAAGATCTTCCGTTAGAGCCCAGCGAGGGGGCGTGGCCCAGCCAGGAGGGCTGGAGAGGCAGCGAGGATCTTCCGTTAGAGTCCAGCGAGGGGGCGTGGCCCAGCCAGGAGGGCTGGAGAGGCAGCGAGGATCTTCCCTCAGAGCCTGGCGAGGGGGCGCGGCCCAGCCAGGAGGGCTGGAGAGGCAGCGAGGATCTTCCCTCAGAGCCTATCTAGGGGGCGCGGCCCAGCCAGGAGAGCTGGAGAGGCAACGAGGATCTTCCGTTAGAGCCTAGCGAGGGGGCGTGGCCTAGCCAGGAGAGCTGGAGAGGCAGCCAGGATCTTCCCTCAGAGCCTATCTAGGGGGCGTGGCCTAGCCAGGAGAGCTGGAGAGGCCCGGAGGATCTTCCCTCAGAGCCTAGCGAGGGGGCGCGGCCCAGCCAGGAGAGCTGGAGAGGCAGCCAGGATCTTCCGTTAGAGTCCAGCGAGGGGGCGTGGCCCAGCCAGGAGGGCTGGAGAGGCAGCAAGGATCTTCCCTCAGAGCCTGGCGAGGGGGCGTGGCCTAGCCAGGAGAGCTGGAGAGGCAGCCAGGATCTTCCCTCAGAGCCTGGCGAGGGGGCGCGGCCCAGCCAGGAGGGCTGGAGAGGCAGCGAGGATCTGCCCTCAGAGCCTGGCGAGGGGGCGCGGCCCAGCCAGGATAGCTGGAGAGGCAGCGAGGATCTTCCCTCAGAGCCTATCTAGGGGGCGCGGCCCAGCCAGGAGAGCTGGAGAGGCAACGAGGATCTTCCGTTAGAGCCTAGCGAGGGGGCGTGGCCCAGCTAGCAGGGTTGGAGAGGCAGCCAGGATCTTCCCTCAGAGCCTGGCGAGTGAGCGCGGCCCAGCCAGGAGAGCTGGAGAGGCAGCGAGGATCTTCCCTCAGAGCCTGGCGAGTGAGCGCGGCCCAGCCAGGAGAGCTGGAGAGGCGCGGAGGATCTTCCCTCAGAGCCTAGCGAGGGGGCGTGGCCCAGCCAGGAGAGCTGGAGAGGCCCGGAGGATCTTCCCTCAGAGCCTAGCGAGTCAGCGCGGCCCAGCCAGGAGAGCTGGAGAGGCAGCGAGGATCTTCCCTCAGAGCCTATCTAGGGGGCGCGGCCCAGCCAGGAGGGCTGGAGAGGCAGCGAAGATCTTCCGTTAGAGCCCAGCGAGGGGGCGTGGCCCAGCCAGGAGGGCTGGAGAGGCAGCGAGGATCTTCCGTTAGAGTCCAGCGAGGGGGCGTGGCCCAGCCAGGAGGGCTGGAGAGGCAGCGAGGATCTTCCCTCAGAGCCTAGCGAGGGGGCGTGGCCCAGCCAGGAGAGCTGGAGAGGCCCGGAGGATCTTCCCTCAGAGCCTAGCGAGGGAGCGCGGCCCAGCCAGGAGAGCTGGAGAGGCACCCAGGATCTTCCCTCAGAGCCTGGCGAGTCAGCGCGGCCCAGCCAGGAGAGCTGGAGAGGCAGCGAGGATCTTCCCTCAGAGCCTATCTAGGGGGCGCGGCCCAGCCAGGAGAGCTGGAGAGGCAGCGAAGATCTTCCGTTAGAGCCCAGCGAGGGGTCGTGGCCCAGCCAGGAGGGCTGGAGAGGCAGCGAGGATCTTCCGTTAGAGTCCAGCGAGGGGGCGTGGCCCAGCCAGGAGGGCTGGAGAGGCAGCGAGGATCTTCCCTCAGAGCCTGGCGAGGGGGCGTGGCCTAGCCAGGAGGGCTGGAGAGGCAGCGAGGATCTTCCCTCAGAGCCTATCTAGGGGGCGCGGCCCAGCCAGGAGAGCTGGAGAGGCAACGAGGATCTTCCGTTAGAGCCTAGCGAGGGGGCGTGGCCTAGCCAGGAGAGCTGGAGAGGCAGCCAGGATCTTCCCTCAGAGCCTAGCGAGGGGGCGCGGCCCAGCCAGGAGAGCTGGAGAGGCAGCCAGGATCTTCCGTTAGAGTCCAGCGAGGGGGCGTGGCCCAGCCAGGAGGGCTGGAGAGGCAGCGAGGATCTTCCCTCAGAGCCTGGCGAGGGGGCGTGGCCTAGCCAGGAGAGCTGGAGAGGCAGCCAGGATCTTCCCTCAGAGCCTGGCGAGGGGGCGCGGCCCAGCCAGGATAGCTGGAGAGGCAGCGAGGATCTTCCCTCAGAGCCTATCTAGGGGGCGCGGCCCAGCCAGGAGAGCTGGAGAGGCAACGAGGATCTTCCGTTAGAGCCTAGCGAGGGGGCGTGGCCCAGCTAGCAGGGTTGGAGAGGCAGCCAGGATCTTCCCTCAGAGCCTGGCGAGTGAGCGCGGCCCAGCCAGGAGAGCTGGAGAGGCAGCGAGGATCTTCCCTCAGAGCCTGGCGAGTGAGCGCGGCCCAGCCAGGAGAGCTGGAGAGGCGCGGAGGATCTTCCCTCAGAGCCTAGCGAGGGGGCGTGGCCCAGCCAGGAGAGCTGGAGAGGCCCGGAGGATCTTCCCTCAGAGCCTAGCGAGGGAGCGCGGCCCAGCCCGGAGAGCTGGAGAGGCAGCCAGGATCTTCCCTCAGAGCCTGGCGAGGGGGCGGGGCCCAGCCAAGACAGCTGGAGAGGCAGCGAGGATCTTCGCTCAGAGCCTGGCGAGGGGGCGCGGCCCAGCCAGGAGAGCTGGAGAGGCCCGGAGGATCTTCGGTTACAGCCTAGCGAGGGGGCGCGGCCCAGCCAGGAGGGCTGGAGAGGCAGCGGGGATCTTCCCTCAGAGCCTGGCGAGGGGGCGTGGCCTAGCCAGGAGAGCTGGAGAGGCAGCGAGGTTCTTCCCTCAGAGCCTGGCGAGGGGGCGTGGCCCAGCCAGGAGAGCTGGAGAGGCAGCGAGGTTCTTCCCTCAGAGCCTGGCGAGGGGGCGTGGCCCAGCCAGGAGAGCTGGAGAGGCAGCCAGGATCTTCCCTCAGAGCCTGGCGAGGGGGCGCGGCCCAGCCAGGAGAGCTGGAGAGGCAGCGAGGATCTGCCGTTAGAGCCTAGCGACGGGGCGTGGCCCAGCCAGGAGAGCTGGAGAGGCAGCGAGGATCTTCCCTCAGAGCCTGGCGAGGGGGCGCGGCCCAGCCAGGAGAGCTGGAGAGGCAGCGAGGATCTTCCGTTAGAGCCCAGCGAGGGGGCGTGGCCCAGCCAGGAGGGCTGGAGAGGCAGCCAGGATCTTCCCTCAGAGCCTAGCGAGGGGGCGTGGCCCAGCCAGGAGGGCTGGAGAGGCAGCGAGGATCTTCCGTTAGAGCCCAGCGAGGGGGCGTGGCCCAGCCAGGAGAGCTGGAGAGGCAGCCAGGATCTTCCCTCAGAGCCTAGCGAGGGGGCGTGGCCCAGCCAGGAGGGCTGGAGAGGCAGCGAGGATCTTCCCTCAGAGCCTAGCGAGGGGGCGTGGCCCAGCCAGGAGAGCTGGAGAGGCCCGGAGGATCTTCCCTCAGAGCCTAGCGAGGGAGCGCGGCCCAGCCAGGAGAGCTGGAGAGGCAGCCAGGATCTTCCCTCAGAGCCTGGCGAGTGAGCGCGGCCCAGCCAGGAGAGCTGGAGAGGCAGCGAGGATCTTCCCTCAGAGCCTGGCGAGGGGGCGGGGCCCAGCCAGGAGAGCTGGAGAGGCAGCCAGGATCTTCCCTTAGAGCCCGGCGAGCGGGCGCGGCCCTGCCTACACCCCGACTTCATCCCAGTGAGGAGGACGTCGGACTTCTGGCCTCCAGAGCTGTGAGAAAATACATTTGAGATGTTCAAGCCGCCCAATGTCTGGTCATTTGTTACAAAAGATATGGAAAATCAACGCACCAGTAACTGGAGAAAATTGATCACGACTGAAAGGCAGTGGGCAAAACGTACTGTTGTAGGTCAGCCCAGACCAGAAACTGTAAGTCTATCAAACAGGCGGAGAAAAGCGGCCACCGTTTTATTCCTCAAGAATTGCACAGTGTTTATTTAAGTCAGCAACCCTGTGGAGCAGATTTAAATTTTATACAATTTCTAGACATACGGCATGCACCCACACGTGTATAATCATCATGCATGCATTATGTATGCATATGTGTGGAGGGACATATGCCAGTGTACGTGTGGGTGGGTACAGTGAGAAAAGATACAGGGTCTTTAATTATGGAATTATCCAAGTTTCTATTCTTCTCAGAAATCACCATAATGTTTTGGGAATTCTCCCAGACTGCTTCTTGCACTGAAAGTTGTTCAAAATTCTGTTAGAAATTCTCTATATTTTGTCTAAAAATATGCTTCCCATATTGATGTGATACAAGTGAGGAAGAAATTACAAAATATTCACTGAGTAAAATAGCAATTTAAATGCATTGAATTAAATTGAGGACCTGAAAACCTAAACACAATTTTTCCATTGCTTGGTTTATGTGAAACTGGACCTGGAGGTTTTTGTTTTGTTTTTTCCTTCCCCGCCAAAGGAGGAGAGGGTTCAGCTTGGTGCATTGGAAAAGTTTTGTAAAATTATGTCTTAATGGTTTCTGTCAGATTTGGAAAGAATCATTGGCAGTCTAGGGAAAAGTGGATTTACACAAGGTACCGAAATTACCAGGTGATAGAGAAGACGTTTAAATTTGTGGGCCCTCACTCTGAGTTGAGGAAGGGGCCCCTGGTGTTTTTACGACGCACACTTTCTTACTGCTGTACCTGCTGTGTAATCTAGTGAGATTCTAAGTAGTCGTATTTAATTGTGAGTCAATAGTGACTTGCTGGGTGCGGTGGCGACTCCCACGGCGGATGGCTGGGTCGAGAGCACATCTTTATTTTCTCTCTAGATCATTCTTCTTCCTATTTTGATTTGAGAAAGGGAACGTGAGAATTAGGGCAACCAGAGTGTTTTCCCAGTAAGTGTTGAGGCAGGCGTTTGCAAGGAGCAGTATTGGAAGCGTTTCCGGAGTTTTCCAGTGTGTTCGGGTTTCACCTGCATGTCAGGGTTCGTCACCGTCACAGGAACCCTGGGTCATTTTGCCAACTCAGTAGAACGGGGCTAAAATGTAAGAGAAGTAACTTTTATTTTGAGAACATGCTCAAAAGTCTAACAAAATGCACACAGGGGATACAGAAAATAGAATGTGGCAAGGTGGGAGTCTGTGGAGGGAGTGGTGAGTAAATTGTAATCCGTCTTGGAGACCGTTTCCAAGTTTACACTACGTGAAGCGGACGGGGTTTGTGATGCACACAGGGCACAGCCCCCAAGCCCGGGTTCTCCATCGCTTAGTGGGAATGCAGCCTCTGTGTGGTTTCAAGAATGGACATCTGAGTTCTGGCCTGTGTCCATTTCAACATATTCACTGTTTGAAAGTGAATATTCAGTTTGATTCGTTTAATTTCAGAAGCACTGAGAACTGAACTTAGAACAGAAGAGCACTCTAAATAGAGAGAAGAGAGGAGATTGTTGAGGCAGATGGAAAGCATCACAAGAGAAGTGTGTGGCCCTCGCCTGTGGAGGTGAAGCTCCAGCAAGGCTCCATCTTGAGTTTTTTTAAATTTTGAGTAGTAAAGTGATTCACTAGATGGATTGCTAAAAGCAGTTCCCATTTTATGTTTTCTTTCTTTGGTATTCCCAAAATGCAAAAAAAGTATATCTTAGGGCCGATATCCCCTTTTGAAATTACATCGTTAGGATTTCTGCCATCTTTGGAACCAGGTAAATATTTAATCCAGAGGTGTATCATGAAACACAGGACAGTGACTGAAGGAGAAAAGAGGTGTTTTCTGGGAAACAATTTTATGTAGCTAACTTTAAAGAAAGTCAGTACTTAGAAGTAAAGGAATAGTCCTTAGACTACACATCACAACTATAATCTATAAAACAATAAGCCTATAAATTAGACTCCACCAAAATTAGAAATATTTGTTCTGTAAAATGCCTTATTAAAAGAACAAAAATAAGATCTACAGATGGGGGAAAATACTTGCATATACCACATCTGAAGGAGAGCTTATCTGTGAAATATATAAAGAACTCTCAAGATGCAACAGTAAAATATAACAATCTAACTAGAAAATGGACAAAAGATTTGGAGAGATATTCCAACACAATTAATACGGGAATGGCGAACACATGAAATGACTGCATTGTTACCCACTAAGAAAATGCAAATTAAAGTCATAGTGGGGTGTCACTGTATGCTTGTTAAAACAGCTCAAATAAAAAGAAAGACACATAAGTCCTGGTGAGAATGTGGATAAACCAGATCTCTCTTACACTGCTGGCAAGAATGCAAAATGATGCAGCCACTATAATGAACAATTTGGCACATAACATAATTATTTGAAAAGAAAAGACAGAAAATAGAGGTAGACAAAAAGCATTATTATAGATAAAGAATGCCAGTACATACTAGTAAACATGAGACCCACTAGGAATGATAAACAATTCTAAATATTTTCTCATCTAATAATATCACCTCAGTATGTTTAAAGCCCACAGATTGATAGAATTCCATGGTTATATTAATCAATTGTCACATTGGGGAGATTTAAATATCCCTCAATTTTGATAATAAAAGATAGTTAAAAATACAAGACTTAAGGCAATTAAAACTTTGATTTATTGGGCATACAAATCCAAATTAGAGAATTGATTTTCTAAAATCCTTAAGAATACTATACAAAATTCACTATGTATTTTGCTATAATACAAGATTAAAAGGATGTTTCTGACAAAGTGTACTTAAAGGACAATAACTAAAGATAAATGAAACCTCCTATTTGGCAATTAAAATAAACTCTTCTACACGTTAATCAATCATAAGATAGACACAATGGAAAATTTTAAGATGTAAGATTTGTCTAGCAATGAAAATACTATGTATCAAAAGCTGTTATATTTAGCAAAAGCATTATTTCAAGTAAAATGTATAATTTTAAGCATTAAATGCTGATGCCAAAAAAAAAAAAAAAAGACAAAGACTGGAGATTGGTAAACTAAGCATCCAAAGGGTGACATTTGAAAGAATCACAGAATCACAGAATATATACTAAGTAACAACTGTGGGATATGCCATGACAGCATTTTTAACCAGTTTGACAATCTGCTTCATGATTGGCATGTTTAGACATTTTCATTTAATCACTTAGAGGGTTTGATTTTTTCCATTGCAAATTTCATCCACAAATATCATTTCCTTTGTTTTCTATTTACTTCAGTTGTTCTCATGATTCTTTCCTCTTTTCCGCATTCTTTTGGATTGAACGTTTTAATGGTTTTATTGTGTCATTTTTGTTGACTTATCAGTAACCTTTTCCTTCCATGTGTAACCATATTGGGATCTATGACTTTCCATGGGCAGCCATCAGGTGACCTTCGATGAATTCCCTCCCGGATGGGAGGGTCATGGTCGCCCTCTTCCCTTCTCACCTCTGGGATGGGAAGATCATGGTTGCACTCTTCCCTTCTCGCCTCCTTGTGTGGAACTTACACAACCATTGTGGATTTTTAATTTACACTCCCACCAACAGTGTAAAAGTGTTCCTATTTCTCCACATCCTCTCCAGCATCTGTTGTTTCCTGACTTTTTAATGATCGCCATTCTAACTGGCATGAGATGGTGTCTCATTGTGGTTTTGATTTGCATTTCTCTAATGACCAGTGATGAGCTTTTTTTCATATGTTTGTTGGCTGCATAAATGTCTTCTTTTGAAAAGTGTCTGTTCATATCCTTTGCCCACTTTTTGATGGGGTTGTTTGATTTTTTCTTGTAAATTTGTTTAAGTTCCTTGTAGGTTCTGGATATTGGCCCTTTGTCAGATGGATAGATTGCAAAAATTTTCTCCCATTCTGTAGGTTACCTGTTCACTGTGATGATAGTTTCTTTTGCTGTGCAGAAGCTCTTTAGTTTAATTAGATCCATTGGTCAATTTTGGCTTTTATTGCAATTGCTTTTGGTGTTGTAGTCATGAAGTCTTTGTCCATGACTCTGTCCTAAGTGGTATTGCCTAGGTTTTCTTCTAAGGTTTTTATGGTTTTAGGTCTTAGGCTTAAATCTTTAATCCAGCTTGAGTTAATTTTTGTATAAGGTGTAAGGAAGGGGTCCAGTTTCAGTTTTCCACATATGGCTAGCCAGTTTTCCCAACACCATTTATTAAATAGGGGATCCTTTCTCCATTGCTTGTTTTTGTCAGGTTTATCAAAGATCAGATGGCTGTAGATGTGTGGTGGTATTTCTGAGGCCTCTGTTCTATTCCATTGGTCTATATATCTGTTTTGGTACCAGTACCATGCTGTTTTGGTTACTGTAGCCTTGTAGTATAGTTTGAAGTCTGGTAGCATGATGCCTCCAGCTTTGTTCTTTTTGCTTAGGATTGTCTTGGCTATATGGTCTCTGTTTTGGTAATTTGGAACATTTTTCTCCAAGCATCTGCTTTCAGCATCTTTCTCCATCTTTATGGATGACAATTACCAATATATCAGGTTGCTTGGACTTGTCCACAGATCATGATGCTCTTTTCTTTCTTTCTGTTTCTCTCTCCTATAGCATCTTTTTTTTCTATGTACATTGACTGTGTGTACTTTGTATTTCATTGTGGTTAGTTTCTTTTGCTGTGTCTCCAACTTCATGCCTATATGCTTCTGCAATGTGTAATCTGTTGTTCCTCCCATCCACTGTAGTTTTCATTTTAAAAGTTGTAGCTTTTTTCCTCTAGAAGTTGGGTTTGAGTCTTTTATATATCATGAGTGTCTCTACTTAACTTTTGGACATACCTAATTCAGGTATAGTAATTTATAAATGTATTTGATAATTCTATATCTGTGTAAATCCCGGGTCAGTTTTTATGAATTTAATTTTTTCATCATCATATTATCACATTATTTAGAGATTTTAACTTTAATATTCCTGACTTCTTTTATTATGGGGTTTCTTGTATGCTTCATGAGTTAGAGCATCCTTCAGAAATCTTAAAAACTAATCAATGCATAAAAACTACCGGTGGAACAAAAAGGTTCAGCCACAGAAAACCACAGCATCATTTTGGTTTTAATATTTTTTTCACCCCCCTCCCCCCGCCCCACCACCAACAAATGTTATGTTTTGCGTTTTGGAAAATTTGTTTCTTAATTATAAAAACACACAATTTATTTTTCACATTAAAAAATTACATTGTTTAATGACAGAAACTCATGAATCCACAGTCACTCGGGGTCTGTCTGCTGGGCTCCACCAGCAGCAGCTGCACGCTCCCTGTGTGAGGATTCTGAGGTCCTCACATAGGGCAGGACCCAAAGGTGAAGATGTGCTCTGTTCTACCTGCTTTGGTAGAAGTGGCATAGCTTTTCCCCTTGCAGTCTATCGGCCAGAAATGGCCACGTGGCCTCACCCACAGCAAGGGAGGCTGAGTGTATGGGGAACAATGTGGGGTGTTGTCGTCACAGCAGCTCCGCGGACAACACCTTCAGATCCTCAGGAGAAAGGAGCGATGCCGTAGTCATTAACTCATCTGTTTTCTCAACCTCAGCTCTAATCCATCAGGACATCGTATTGCCTCTACCTTTCAGATGTACCCAAACTTCAGCCACCCCTCGTGACCTCAGCCATTCTGGCCTGCGTCACAATAATCTCCATCTGGACTCCTGACGAATGTGCAGAGTCCCTTCTCAACACTGGCCAGATATCTGCTGTGTCAGGCCAGACGCCTTCTCTACTCAAACCCTGCAGCATTTCCCTAGTTAAAGCAGATTGCCAAGGCTCTCCCAGAGCTGGGTCATGACCTGTAGAGATGGCATCTGAGCAAATTCTGATACTTAAAAAAAATTTTATTCTCCTTATTTTCATTCCACTTGAACCAAGCAGCTTCACTGAGCATGCAGGACACAGGTCAGAGCCTTACCCTGGCTGTGCCTTTCTCTGGAATGTTCCTTTCCGAGGCAGCTCATGTCCACATTTGAGTGTAATGGAGGCTCAGACGTCACCTCCACAGGGATGCCCACCCTGACTGCACACTTAGCCTCGCAGCCTTGCTCACAACTGTGTCCAGGATCCCTTATTCTTGCATACATAGTACCTTTTATCATTTAATTCCTACTCCACTTATTTATTGCAATTTTTATTGTTACTGACCTGTTTTATTACCCATCAGATTGTAAGTTCTACAGACACAGGGGAATTTGTCAGTAAGTGTATTATTGAATTCCAATCACTGGAATAAGACCTGGAAATACTTGGTACTTAATATATGTTCATTGAATGAATAAATCTCTGAGAAAAAATAGGGCAGTTCTGTTTCCTGATGCCCTAAGACATGTAGAGAATGCTACCCAAGGCACCCATTAATCATCGAGATAAAACGTTTAGACTCCCCTGAAGTTTTTGCCTATAGTTTACCTTTATAATTTGCTTCATTTTCAAGGCTGCCTTCACCCTTCATTTATTCGGATTTTTCCTTAGGAAAAGAGATCATGGGAAGGCATATCAGGGACGGAGCCCACGCTTCAGGGCCATTCTGCTGGGCTTTCCTACAGTGACCTCACCATCACCACCACCACCGACAACGACATCACAGCCCCGACCTCACCATCACCACCACCAATGACAACACTACAGCCCTGACCTCACCATCACCACCACCAACAACAACGACATCACAGCCCCGACCTCACCATCACCACCACCAATGACAACACTACAGCCCTGACCTCACCATCACCACCACCAACAACAACGACATCACAGCCCCGACCTCACCATCACCACCACCAATGACAACGACATCACAGCCCCGACCTCACCATCACCACCACCAATGACAACGACATCACAGCCCCGACCTCACCATCACCACCACCAATGACAACGACATCACAGCCCCGACCTCACCATCACCACCACCAATGACAACGACATCACAGCCCCGACCTCACCATCACCACCACCAATGACAACGACATCACAGCCCCGACCTCACCATCACCACCACCAATGACAACGACATCACAGCCCCGACCTCACCATCACCACCACCAATGACAACGACATCACAGCCCCGACCTCACCATCACCACCACCAATGACAACATCACAGCCCTGACCTCACCATCACCACCACCAACGACAACGACATCACAGCTCCGACCTCACCATCACCACCACCAATGAGGATGCTACAGCCCCGACCTCACCATCACCACCACCAATGACAATGACATCACAGCCCCGACCTCACCATCACCACCACCAATGACAACGACATCACAGCCCTGACCTCACCATCACCACCACCAATGACAATGACATCACAGCCCCGACCTCACCATCACCACCAATGATGACGCTACAGCCCTGACCTCACCATCACCACCACCAACGACAATGACATCACAGCTCCGACCTCACGATCACCACCACCAATGACGATGCTACAGCCCTGACCTCACCATCACCACCACCAATGACGACACTATAGCCCTGACCTTACCATCACCACCACCAATGACAATGACATCCCAGCCCCGACCTCACCATCACCACCACCAATGACAATGACATCACAGCCCCGACCTCACCATCACCACCACCAATGACGATGCTACAGCCCCAACCTCACCATCACCACCACCAATGACAACGACATCACATCCCCAACCTCACCATCACCACCAATGACAACGACATCACAGCCCCGACCTCACCATCACCACCAATGACAATGACATCACAGCCCTGACCTCACCATCACTACCACCAATGACAACAACATCACGGCCCCAACCTCACCATTACCACCACCAACAACAATGACATCATGGCCCACAGGTGGCCAAACCCTTCAATCACCTGCAAACCAGCGACCCTCACTTTTGCTTCTGAAACTTATAAAAGCAAAAACAAAAAAACAGATTCTCAAACCCAAACCGTGGCAATTCTGGTTCAGCAGGTGTTAGTTGAGACCAGGCACTTTCATTTAAAATCACTACAGAAGTGTTTTTATGCACATCCAAAATTGAGAACCCCTGTGACAGCTCCTTAATATTCCCAAAGGGTTATTTAAGACTTACACATCTTTAAATGTGTGAGTACACAATGGTCGATGATCCTGCAATTCTCATTTATAAAAAGATGGCAGTCGTATCCAACTCCCGAGACGGCGAACCCGCACCATTTCCATGCGCGCTCTGTGCACAAGGCTGGCCTCACGTTGGCCAGCGACTCCCTCCCGGCGAGTCAGTTCTCAACTTGCTTCAGCAGAGGTGCATATGGTAGGGAGTGGCCCAACCTTTGGGATGGCCAGAGATCATCAGACCTGTGGGTCCATGTGCCGTTTGCTGTCATAAGTTCCTGTCATAACTCCCTGTGCGCCCATTTTGTTGGATGTGTTCACACTGTATTTTAGTTGCCAATGACTATATTTCAGTGTGTCTGCATAGAGGGCTGTGCTCTGTATTTCAGCATGTCCGCATGGAGAGCTGTGTGTGTTTCTATATTTCAGCGTGTCTGCATAGAGGCCTGTGGGTGTCTTCATATTTCAGTGTGTCTGCATAGAGGGCCGAGCTCCGTATGTCAGCGTGTCTGCATAGAGGCCTGTGGGTGTCTTCATATTTCAGTGTGTCTGCATAGAGGGCTGAGCTCCGTATGTCAGCGTGTCTGCATAGAGGCTGTGTGTGTCCCCTTAATCTTTGTTACTCTAGTTTTCAGATATTGTCTGGAACTGGAGAAGCCCCACATTTTATGATGGATAAATAAATAAAGGTTAAACGCAGGGCTGCGGAGCTCCATTGCCTTCCTCGTAATTCTGCGAGACTCTGCGATATACTTTTCAGGGAGCATCACATTAGCTGTCACACACTGAGTGTCAACCAAAGCCACGCAAGGTGGCCTAAAATTAACGAGCTCGTTGTGGAGGAGCCTCCACTAACGAAGTCAACAAATGCAAACTGGTTTGGTAACCTTCTGTAAAGAAAAGATCCATCATTGGTTAATACTTATTGTATAGATTATGGCAAAATTTAAAAAATAAACAGTATTTACTGAAATTTTATACATTGTATTTGTTCACTCATGATTTCAACATTTATTATCTCTTGTGCTCCAGACACCGGGCTGGTGACACCAGGGTCCAGATCACACTTTCCCTGTCCTCGCACTGGGGGGAAAGAGGAATAAATACCTTTATCTAAAACATAGTTACAAATAATAGCAAATCCTTTGAAAGGAACAAAACAGAATGAGATGGGTGTCTTACATCTGATGTGGGTGGGACAAGTCCTCTCTCAGGAGGAAATATTTTGGGCCAACTCTTCCTTGCCTTGGCAAATATGACTTAGTGAAGTAATGGATTTTTCATGCAGGGTGTTGAAAGGCTCAGGGTGCTCACCCACATCAGTGAGGGAGGTGCAGCTGATGAAGGAAGTGCTGGGTGCAGAAGGGGATGCTCTGAAATGGTGGCTTCTGTTTGCAGTTTCAAAGCTCAGGTAATTTTCTTGTGCTTTATCTACTTATGCCTAAATTCAGAGGAAGGATAAAGAAAAAACAAATAATAATATTGAATTCTACTTCGGGTGAGACATTATGCTTGTTGCTTTTATGTCTGTCATCTACTTAGATCATAAAAACCCCGTGTGGTCTGACACATTATTTCTAGTTTACAGGTGAATAAATTAAATTCATAGACTAATATTACCTGAGTCCTAGAGATGGGCTTTAACTCAGGTATTGCTGACATCTAGATCAGTGCAGTAGAACTTTAGTTAATTCCAGTTATAAAATAGCTATTAATTAGGGTTTTCATTGGCTTAAATGTTTAAAACTGAGTTGTCACCTGTTTATTTTATTTTATTTTATTTTATTTTATTTTATTTTATTTTATTTTTGAGACAGGGCCTTTCTCTGTTGCCCAGACAGGAGTGCAGTGGCATGATAGCAGCTCTCTGCAGCCTCAAACTCTTGGGCTGAAAAGATATTCCCATTTCAGCTTCCTGAGTAGCTGAGACTACAAGTACACATCACCACACTTGGCTAATTCTTTTTTTTCTTTTTCTGAGACAGAGTCCTGCTCTGATGTCCAGGCTAGAATACAGTGGCACGATCTCAGCTCACTCCAGTCTCCGCCATCCCAGGTTCAAGTGATTCTCCTGCCTCAGCTTCCTGAGTAGCTGGGATTACAGGTGCCCGCCACCACACCCAACTAATTTTTGTAGAGACAGGGTTTCACCATCTTGGCCAGGCTGGTCTTGAACTCCTGACCTCGTGATCCACCTGCCTCTGCCTCCCAAAGTGCTGGGATTACAAGTGTGAGCCACCACGCCTGGCTGGATAATTTTTTATATACGTTTTGTAGAGACAGTGCCTTGCTATGTTGCCCAGGCTGATCTTGAACTCCTGGCCTCAAGCAATCCTCTCCCTTCAGCCTCCAAAAGCCCTGAGATTACGGGCCTGAGCCACCATGCCCGGCCAGTTTTGTTTTTTATCTTAAATGTGTATTTGTGAATTATTTTGCAATGGTTGGCGGGCTCACAGACCCTGAAAAGGCTTGTACTTTTGGTAGAAAGGCATGAGCAACACACAAAAATATCTGCAAACAGACATGGCTTTTTTCCTCAACATGTTCTAAATCATTTGAAAGCTTTTAATTTTCAAAATTAAAGGCCTGAGTAAAATTCCAGCTGACAAATCCACCTCTTATTCTCCCTTGGTAATTAATCATGAGATGGTAAACACAGAAGACCTTCAGTGAAGTTGAAGCCTTTACTATACGAAGGTTCTAGTGAGGGGAGTGCAAAGTGGGGCCGCAGGACAGACACCTGCTCTGATGACCACGGAACATGGCGTGGTGGAGTCAATGTGTGGAAACTCAGCAATGGTGTGAGTCTCGCGTGGAGCTGCCGACCCATCGCTTCCTCATGGGAAAGATTTTTCCACTTGGGCTCCACTTATCACACTCAAGAAACACTGGATATTCTGGGAAACTCTTGGAGGGCAGGCAAAAACCATCCTCCCTCAGACATGGAGCATTGACTAAGCTGCTTGTACCTGCGCAGTGTCTGTTTTAAGTATTAACTAAAAATCATTTCCAAGGGAAGCAACATAGGAAACAGGAATTAAAAATGCAAATGCTGAATGCTGTGTGTGTGCACATTTGAAGGGGCCAGACCACTCTCCACTTTGATTTATGCGTAAACGCAACTATCCCTCCCTGTACTCACCCCTTAAGCCCACATGACCGCTGAACAATGACCCCAGTCAAATCTCAGCCACTCCTCTTTCCTCACTCAAAAGCCACCATGGCCGAGTTCCTCGGGTCTAGCTGCTGCTCTGGGCTTCCGATGGCCTTGAAACCCCATGTTTGTCCCTGTGCTTCTGTCAAGTCATTTTTCCACAGCGTTCTGGGGCCACAGGTGAAGGGTGAGGCATCTGCAGGTGTTGAGGTGCCTGCAGGGACCTCTCAGGGGACGCCTGCTGGTGTCTGCGTGGCGTGAACACTGTTCTATTTGGACCCAGCCTGGGAATGACCTTAGGCCACTTACCTGTCCTCATCTACAACAGGGACTTTTAATATCTGGGATAGAAATGCTTTTGTTCTGTAGGTTTTGTTTATGGTGTTATGATTATATGTTTATTATCCATTAATTTATTTATTCAAAATATCATTGAGCAAATATTTGCTTCCAAATATTCCATTAGATATTTCATATATATTCTATTATTTAATTCTCATAATATTATGGGATGGTGAGAACGTGCAAAAATGGAGGTTGGAAGTAGCGAGTCGCCCAGTCACACTCGACTCCTAAGGAAGAGAATTTAGATTGAATCTGGGTCTTCTGATGAAAAATCTACTTTCTCCTATTCATATTGTTGCCATTTTATGGCATATTATGTTTTTATAATCCTAACAATTTATTAACATATAAAACCTGACACACAACAGCAGGCACGAGGGTAACATAGCAGATGCCGGTAGCACCATCACGGTTCCACGTCAGCCGTCCCCCAGAGGCTGCAAACTCCAGTTTTAAGATAGAATGTTTTTTCCTGCTCCTCTATCCCAGTACGTGAAATTCCTACATGGCGATCCACACCCTATGTCTCCCTCCTGAAGGTGTCATGATCCACGCCGACCCTGGGTAACCCTGGGTAGAGGCTGAGTGAGTTCCAGTGGTGACTGAGAGAAAATCTCCCTGTGATGGGAACTGGGCTTCAGACTTACTTGTTCCAGAGAAAATAATGTGACTCTTTGTGTCTTCCTGAGTTTATCTGTGAAACTGGCCAGTGTTTACTGAGTGTAGCACATGCAACCTGCACTTCTGGGCGCTGGAGACACGGGTGAGCACGTGACAAGCACACGCCCGCTCTGACCCACCGCGGGGTGGGACACACCTCAGAGTCATCATGATGAAGAAAATGCCAGAGAATTTTGTCTGCCCTTAATTTCTTATTAAATCACCCTAAAGGTGGGCATCCCCAGATCTTTTGGAAGACATCCATGTTCTCCAGGTAGAAGCCTCTGTTCTGTTTGGTCAGGAAGAGGTGTCCTGCTCTGGCCGTTCCAATATTCAGGAAACAGGTTCCTGTGTTGGGCTTCTCTCCCTTCCGTTTTTAGCCTTCTTTGCTACTACTCATCACCTCGGGCCAGGTTAGTACTTCCCTTCTCCATAAAGACATTCTTAGGGCATCTGCCTCGATGACACTCTCCCTTCCATGAGCATCTATTGCTCAGACATCTTTTCAGCAATACTAGAGTCTGGCCATCATACCAAATGCTAGGAGAAACTTAATACCCACATTTAAGAAGTGCACCATCAAATGTGGAAAACAAATGTTTAGACACATAATCTGCTATGGACATTTCATTGAAAGTAGATACAAGGTGAAGAGGGAGAAAGAGGAAGTCCACCCTGTCCATCCAAAAGGAGCTGACGGAAGGCTAAGTGAACACCACCTGAGTTCTGAAGGAAGCGCGGGATGCACCTGCAGGAGGCGGCTGGAGAGGGGTGCACAGGCTCCACACGTATCCGCTTGGTCCCACGGGTGCTGCCAGTGAGGCCAGCTGTAGCCAGGGGTAATCTGATGTCATTGCCCTTGTTCAAGACAAAGCAATGATGAGGTTGGCATTTAATGTCATCAGTAGCAATTAGCTGCATAGGAAATTAATGACCAATTGAATTAATTCAAGCTCTTTACGAATTCTTCCTCCAAATATTGAGAACGTCTTCACGGAAGTGCTTTTGTGCAGAGTTCACATGGGAAGTTTTAAGGACTTAAGATGAATTCATTGCACTTAACTACTTAGGAAATAAACTGTCTTGTACCTGGTTATGAATATAATGCAGGCAATTCCCAGTAGTCATGATATTTGCTTGCTCTTCTAAAGAAATGTGACCACTGGATCCATAGAAGAAAATGGACTTTCCTGCACTATTTTTATTTTCATATTTAAAATGTGAGAATATTGTATCTAAGCATGACAGAAATTAATTTTTCCTAATAGTTTTGAAATCTAAAGTGAAAACCACAGTCTCATTGCTTGCTATCTTATCTTTCAGGGATTTTATATTAAGTGTTGCTCAACTAATGCATCCTATTACAAAATATGAATTTAAGTTTAGCATGTTCATGGCTTAGTACTTTAAAACCCTATTTTGTTTATATCTTCTTGTTTTCCATATAAAACTTATGAATCTCTTATTTGTTTTTCTGACATTCTAAATACTTATATATTTCTATATTATTTACGCAGATATTTCCTGGGAATAGAAATTCATCTCCTGGAAGTAAACGCAATAGTAAAATCCAAATAAGGAGCTGTGGTATTTGGTGTGACTTAAGAAGTTTTTAAAATCTGGACTTTGCTCTTGTTAGCTCTGTGCACCTGAGAGACTTTGAACATCCATTTTTAAACTGCAGCTTCTCTCTATATAAATGGGCTATATGGGAATTGAACAATGAGATCACATGGACACAGGAAGGGGAATATCACACTCTGGGGACTGTGGTGGGGTGGGGGGAAGGGGAAGGGATAGCATTGGGAGATATACCTAATGCTAGATGACGAGTTAGTGGGTGCAGTGCACCAGCATGGCACATGTATACATATGTAACTAACCTGCACAATGTGCACATGTACCCTAAAACTTAAAGTATAATAAAAAAAAAAATCAAAGGTTAGAAAAAAAAAAAAGGTGAAAAAAAAATAAATGGGCTATAATAATATTTAAGCACAATGTTAAGGATTCAATGGTAAAATCTAGAAGTATATATAATGTCCAGATGTATGTTCCATAAAACTTAGATACTATAATGACAAATGTGGCATATTTTTAGAAAAGTCAGTGTCTATGTAGCAGCATTGATATCCTGCATTTTCCTCCTTGAATTAAAATAGAAACTACTATGACATTTTCTGTCTACTCAGAGTGCCTAAAAACCAGTACCAGTGCCTGCATGCCAGGCTAAAGCAGGCAGCATCATCACCAGTGCCTACATACCAGGCTAAAGCAGGCAGCATCGTCTTCAAAGTCAAATACTAGTTACTGCTGATCATTCTAGACTGAATTCCACTAAAGCAACTCGCCCAATCAGAGTTTTACAAGAAGATTTAAATATTTTATACCATTTAGAACAGTTCTAAAATCTTCAGATGTTCATAATCTAAAAACCCTCCAGGGGTCTTTTTAAGGCGGGTGACATCTAAGTAGATCTTTAAGGGGAACGATGATAAAAATGAAAGTCGGACATTGACGGGGAGAGAACTGCAGGTTCAAAGACATGAGGCATCATTATAGAGAGCATGCAGAGACCTGCAGACATTTTTCAACTTACTAGGGTTTTAAGAGAGAAGCAACTTGGAGGCATGACTTCTGGAGTGGCATGGCTTAAGAAGGCTGTGGAAACTGTTCTCCCAGAGAGGCATCCATTATTATGCTGATCAAAATCAGCAAAATCAATCATTCCAAATCACTGGAGATTGATCAAAGGGCTTACAGAACCGGAGAAGAATTTGTTAAACAAAATCTACAGATACTTGGCAAGAATAGTGGGAGGACAGGGCATTTGCTGTAGGAATTCCCTCCATCCATCCACAGTTCTGCAGTAAGGAAGAACCTCTCCAGCAGGCTGGGAAACCGGTGACCATGGGCAGTTCTCATCCTGTTCAGCACCTGGTGGGGAAGAACTGTCCTGAGTGGGTTTGGCAGCCAATGAACATGGGCAGATTTATTCTCCACAGCAGAGTTCCACACAGGCCCACATGGAGCTACTGGCAGTGCTGGGAAGGTGGTGCCTGTCCCATCTCTAGTTCATGCTACCCAGAGAGGACCCAAAGAGATCAAGAGGAGGAGGGGTCCAGTCTCCCAGCTCTGGGTCCCTAGTGCAGAGGACTCTCTAGGTAAGGTCTCTCATGCCTCAAAGATGAGCAGCACCCTTCCCCTGCCAAGGGACCCAGATTTAATTGGATCAGAGTAGAGCAAGTCATACCCCATGATCTTGTGGAAAACAGTAGGGTGATCCACAAGCAATTTGTGAAGGATGACAGTTGGATGTGATACCAACAGAGGAAGAGAAGCCACATCCTCAGCAGAGGGATCAGGGAAACAGACCATTTCAGAGACAGCCTCGCTGAAACCACAGGGTCCCTGGTGGTCAAGAAGACTGTGCATATGCCCAGAGCTCTGCCCTCTGAGAAGCAGAGGACACAGACTTCACCGAACTAGGCCAGCCAAGACACTGAACAAATGGACAGTCCCGTAAGCAAACTGGGATGGGAGGGATCGGTGTCCAGAGTTGTTATGTTATTCAAAATGCCCAGGTTTCAGCAGAAAGGTATAAGGCATTAAAAAAAATTAAAGTGTAACACAGAAACAAAAAACAACAGCTTATGCAAATGCCTTGAGAAAGGCCCCCATATTGTACTTAGCAGAGGAATACTTCACAGAATTTATGACAAATATGCTCAAAGAGCTAGAAGAAACTATGATTAAAGAACTAAAGTACATAGAAAACCCTAGACTCCATCAAACAATTATTTATAATAATAACTTCAGTATAATTGCAATCTACAAAATCAGCATACAAAATAAAATGCATTTTTATACACTAACAATAAACTCTCTGAAAAAGAAATTAAGAAACAACTCCCACCTTGGCCCATTTAACATAGCACCAACAAACACTTAGGAATAAGTTTAACCAAGGAGGTAAAAGATCAGTACACTGAACAATAAAACATTGATTTAAAAAATTAAGATACAAATAAATAGAAAGATATCCCATGAGTTATGGTCTGAATGTTTGTGGCCCCCTATATTTATGTTGAAATCTTCACCCCCAAAGTCACAGTGTTTGGAGGGGAGGGGCCTTTGGGAGGTGATGAGGTGGTGAGAGAGGAGTCCTCCTGGTTGAGGTTAGTGCCCTACTAAAAAACCTTAGAGAGTTCCCTTCCACCTCCCCACTGTGAGAACACAGTGAGAAAGTGCTATCCAGGAACCAGAAAGTGGGCCCTCCTCAGATAATGAATCTGCTGACACCTTGATCTTGGACTTCCCAGCCTCCAGAACTGTGAGAAATACATTTCTGTGGTTTATAAGCTGCTCAGTTTATGGTATTTTGTTACAGCAGCCAGAACGTATTAAGATATTGTGCTCATGGACGGGAAGAATTAATATTAAATAATTAAAATGTCCATACTACCAAAAGTGATCTACAGATTCAATGTGATCCCTATGAAAACTCCAATGGCATTTTTCACAGAAATAAAACCAAATCCTCAATTTCATATGGGACCAATTAAACAAGTAGAACAAAGCTGGAGGGATCACACCTGCCAATTTTAAGTTATATTACAAACCTATGGTAATCAAAACAGCATCATCCTGGAACAAAAACAGACAGGTTTCTTAGCAGAAATAAAAATGAAACTACCATATAATTTAGCAAACCCACTCTGGGTATTTGTCCAAAGGAAAGCAAATCAGTATGTGAAAGAGGTATCTGCAATCTTATGTTTACTTCAGCACTATTCACAATAGCCAAGATATGGAATCAACCCAAGTGTCCATCAACAGATGAATGGGTAAAGAAAATGTGGTACGCATACATCATGGAATACTATGCAGCCTTTAAAAAAGAAGGAAACTATGCCATTTGCAGCAATATGGATGAACACGAAGAACATGATGCAAAGTGAAATCAGCCAGACACAGAAAGACAAATGCTGTGTGATATCACTTATATGTGGAATTTAAAATAGTCAAACTCATGGAAGCAGAGAGTAGAATGGTGGCTTCCAGGGACTGAGGTAACAGAGCAATGGAGATGTGATAGCCAAAAGTACAAAGTTTCATTTATGCAAGATAAATAATATCTAGAGAGCTACAATACAGCACAGGGCATATGGTTAGCAATATTATATTGTATACTTAAAATTTGCTAAAGAGTAGATCTTATATTAAGGGTTATTACTAATAATAAGAAAAAGGCCAGGCGTGGTGGCTCATGCCTGTAATCCCAGCACTTTGGGAGGCCAAGGCGGGTGGATTGCCTAAGCTCAGGAGTTCAAGACCAGCCTGGTCAACATGGCAAAACCCCGTCTCTACTAAAAATACAAAAAATTAGCCGGGCATGGTGGTGGGTGCCTGTAATCTCAGCTACTGGGGAGGCTGAGGCAGGAGAATCACTTGAACCCAGGAGGCGGAGGCTGCAGTGAGCCGAGATCACACCATTGCACTCTAGCCTGGGCAACAGAGCAAGGCTCCGTCTCAAAAAAAAAAAAAAAAAAGACAAAACACTGACTTCCCTGAGATTTCATACTCTGGTTAAAGGGGTTGTGGTATTTCCCTGACTTCCCAGCTTCCCTGTGGTTTGTCAGTTTAGCATTTTATAGCTCTTGCAAAGAGTCCCAACCACAGAAACAGCTACTGCTGATAATAGTTCTGATAGAGCCAGCATTCACTGAGCAATGCCTTTGGGCATTGTGTATCTAATTGTTCCAAACACTTTAACAAGTGTATTGTTTGATTCCTACTGTGGAGTGATGCCCAGGATACTGGAGTGGAGAGTTGGGGAAGGAAGCCGTGACACAGCCGCCCGAGGTAGCACAGCCGCCCTGCTGCGGGGTGCACCTCCTCCCAGGCACTGGCCTATGGGTGAGCATCTCTCCTTTCCTGAATGCCATCGCCCCATCCTTGAAGCGGCTGGTCATTCCTGTCCTAAACTGGTGGTCAACAGTGCAGGGGGCACAGGTTCCCATGAGAGCCGCTGGGCTGAGTGCCTGGAAGAAGCTCAGGGGCATCTGGAAAGAGGAACTTGGGCTGGTTTGAAGGGTGAAGAATCACGCGCAGGAAACCTCAGGGATGGATGCGGCACTGTCCCCACACCTGCTGTTTGCATCCCTCATTCAACAAGCAGCTCTGTCCTCTTCTCAAAATGCTGCCTAAGCCTCAGTTCTTCGGGGAATTCAGTTTTGAAGACTAGTGAGAGGGCAAGAGGATTATTATTGCATATTCTCCAAAACAAGGCACTTTCTTCCAAAGTACATCCCATTTGTCTTTCTGCAAAATCTCTCGTTTTGATTTATCTTTCAAGAGAGAACACTTGGATGAAGTGAAATTATTCTCCACATGTTCGCATACACACAGACATCTCTTATATACACATGCACATACATCTATGATATAGATTTTATTTCATATGTTAAAAAAGTGGGCAGGCACAGTGGTTTACGCCTATAATCCCAACACTTTGAGAGTCTGAAGCTGGAGGATAGCTTGAACCCAGGAGTTCAAGATCAGCCTGGGCAACATGGCGAAACGCCTTCTCTATGAAAAATACAAATAAAATTAGCCAGGTGTGGTGGTGTGTGCTTGAGTTCCAGCTACTGGGGAGGCTGAGGTGGTAAGATTGCTCCCGGAAGTTGGAGGCCACAGTGAGCTGTGATCGTGCCACTGCATTCCAGCCTGGCCCATGGAGCAACGCCCTGTCTCAAAAACATGTATATTTTCACCTAAAAACATTACAATAGACAGGTGAAAAGAAGAGAAAACTCCCCTGCAATTTCATTACCCAGTGGTAATCACTGTTCACGTTTGGTTTAGCATATCTGTCATTTCATTTGTGCACATACATACATGAATATTTAGTTCAAAAATATAATTACAGTCTATGTAATAGTATAATTTTCTTTATAATAGCTTTAACCTATCAATTTCAATAAGCACTTTTAAGTAGAATTTTTAATAACTGCATGACATAGCAATTTATATAACCTTCCTTCGTTTGCTGCCTTTAATTTTAGCAATGGTATTGAGATGAACAGATCTGTAATATCGATATTACTGAGGATGATTTTGTAGATATGGAATGTATATATGTTTGAGAGAAAAACTGCCGCAATGCCTTCCAACAATATTGCATCCCCTTCTGCACCTACAGAAATACTTCCTGAGGATTCCAGTCTCCTTTATCTAGGCCAGTCAAGCCACCGCCTCACGGGTAGCATGTGCCGCGTATGTTTGTGGGTGTGCAATGATGTCTCTATGTGATTATATATATGTGTGTGTCTATAATGTGGTCAATATTTGCCTACTTTATTGGTAAAAAGAGTAGCTTTTTATCATCTGCTATTGCCAGTGAGATTGCATTCTTTTTTAAAATATTATTTGAATTTTTGGAAATATGGCTTTAGCTTTTCTCTTTTATGCTTTTTCCCTTCCCCTGAGTAAATCCCAACTAGTTACTTCCATGCATTTCTTTTTGTTTTATTTTCCTGCTCCCTGTGGTTGGAGATCGCGCTCCACAATGAATTCTGGGCACACCCACCACAATTGGGAAATGGTAAACACAGCCGCTCACAGCACTGGACCTGCGCTTTCATCTGTGTCACTGCCAAGAACACCTCAAGCTTTGAAACTTTATTTAGGTGTCCTCAGACAATTCCTTCCTCATCTGAATATTATTCACTAATTGGTATTTTCTAACAATTGTGGGATATTATCAAGAGCTCATCTTTCTAACAAAGTTATCTTTAATAGGCAAATACTGAGATATATGTAATTTCCATGGAAAAGCAAAACAAAACAAAAACAGAAACTGCTTGAAGCTTCCCTCAGTCCCTCCGATTTTCAAAGGCTATCAGCAGAGAGCTCTAGGTGCTGCTTATTCCTGCAGGGCAGGAAGCAGTTTAGTGTTTTGTCGAAAGGCCTTTTAGCTCCATGTTCTTAGGTCAAGACTATTTCTCTGCACAAATTCACCTGAAAATGCGAAGGACTGCTCTCTGCATCCTTCCAGGTGGGGCCTGAGTGCCTTCAGATGCTGCAGGGAAGCCAGGGCCCCCAGGAAACTCTTAGGATGAAGCCGATGGGCAGGCCCCAGCCCCAGGGATGTCTTGCAATCAGGTCTCTCCGTGAACTGGGGTCATGTGTCTTTGTAAATCAGTCTAGTTACTCATTGTAGTAGGTATAGAGCAAGAGCAGAAAATCATACTTTAATTTCTGTGACTATAAATTAACAACTCTAAATTTTGTTAATTTCTATTCAAAAATGCTAAAATTTCATGTAATAACAATTTGACCTTGCATTGAAACCCCAAAGTATCAAAAAATATTTCCAGGCATTAAATTTACTATCAGAATAGCTACCATCTTTTCATTGGCAAAACAGCACCAATTTTACTGGAAAAAAAAAAAACAGCCGGAGGGGCATTTCCAGAAGCTGGTGGATTGGCTGAAATTCACCCCCAGATTAATCACTGCTTTTCCTCACCCTCCCACACAGCTGGCATTTTCTTTGCCCTGTCTGACCCCAACACAAATGCCCTTAATTAACTCAATAGTTCAATAGAATTGCTATAACTCATTTTATTCTACTAGCTAAGAATTTCTCCTTTGTGGCATCTAGAAAATGGGTAAATAAACAAACAAACAAAAACACCTAAACTTAACCAGAACACGTCCCTCAAACACAGCTTAGCACCTGTTGGTTTCTACTAATTTCTTTCTTCACTGTCATTTTTTACCAAAACAAACTGGAAAGTTCCTGGAAGGCAGACGCCCCCTCCAAATCCTGAACACAAGTCCCCAAATGTCCTGACGCACATGGAGCCCTTGGGAGAATGTTACAAGTCCACAGGCTCTTCTGTATGACTTGTGAAAGCCCTATGGACGGGTTGAAAGTGTCCACGCCCCTGAGGTGAGAAGAGTGCACCGTTCTTATTTACCTGAGCGGGGAGCTCTGAACCCCATTCCCACCGCAGGAGCCACCCAGGTCAGCAGGGCTCACCCACACCAGGCTCAGAACACTCCCCTGGACGTCTTCACAGGACTGGGGCCTCAAGACCCCTGAGACCAGGAGTCACACACCCTCAGCTCAGTGTAGGTTTAATTTTTAAACAGCATGCTTTTAAGATGAGAGTGCCCAATAAAGCTGTTTTACTTTAGTAATGAGGGCTTTCTCCTAAAAGAATTTTGAAAACTGTTTGAAGTGCTTTCAAAGTCATCTTAATTTTAGCCTGTCTCAGAAATAGAGGCAATTTTCATAATTTTGTTTTTAAAAGTATAGACCTGTCATTCTTCTAGGCACCTTAAAGAAGTAATTTTCTTTAAAAGGTTGTGGGATCTTTTTTTCCTTCTATCATATCTCTTCAAAAAGTACTCAGTTTCAAAGAATAGATAAATATTTTATGTGTGCATTTAAAATCTCTATTTTTTAATGCTAGGACTGAGATATTTTGTTTTTATTGTTGATGGCATCTGCAGGGTGAATATGTAATATGTATTGATACATACATAGAGAAATGCACACAGATACACATGTATATGTACATGTATATGCATCTATTTGATTTTAACATCAGAGTATCTTTAGAGATCTAGCTTTTGGAAATACGATGTTTATATTCTTCAAATGATAACTGCAATTCAAGCAGAAATCCATGGTATGCAGAAGAGAACAGGAGGCAACATGTTTTTACTCATTTTTCTATCCGCTAAAGACTGGCCTACCGTGTGCGGGGTTTCATATAATCTCTCAGCAACTAAGCCAACTAATGACAGAAAAAAACAAAGGGACAATGACTAAAACCCACTAGACAATAAGGATTAATTAAATTATACATATGGTTTTATAATTAATTAACTACCAGCTCTAGTGCAGGCAAAATAATGACAGTGTAGGGGAAACTCAGAGAGACTGTAGCAATGTAACCCATGTCTAACTAAATAACCATGTTGTTTTTAAGCATTAATTTCATCAAAATTATCAAAAGCATCCACTTCTCATATATTCTTCCTCATAAGAAAAATACAGCAGACTCTGTCAATAAGCATCAAATCTAATTGGAATCACTAAAAAAAGTCAATGACAAAAAAAAAAAAATGAGCAGCCGGGGTTCAATTAGAAGTGACCTCGCCACGCTCTGTGACTCCAAGTGAAGCTGGAGCAAGTGCACAGCAGGCAATGGAGGGCCTGGTTCATGAAGAGAGGGCTCGAGGGTCACAGGAAATTGACAAGCGCTTTGATGTTATATGATTAGGTCATGAAAGTGAGTGGAGGCTAAGGATGAAAGAATTCTAACTTCAGAGGAATTTAAAGGAGGAAGAATTAAGAGAGAAACAGGCTTCTGTGAAGCATACTGAAATCTGAGAATATGTTTGGGTCATTGCTATTCAATCCACAGTCATATTTTTTACACCACTAAAGCGAAATCATTTTGTTACAGTTTCTTTTTCCTGATGATAAAAGTCACATGGGTTTATTTTGTAATAGTTAGAAAGCATAGGAAAATACAAGATACCCTCCACCTGCACACCACTGTGCAGATGTAACCTGGGGTGAGCTCTTTCCCCTTCTGCCTGTATGTGCATGTGTGTAAATGTGTATGCATGTGTGCAAATGTGCGTGTGCAAGTGTGTGACTGTGTGTGTATTTAGGATTACAGTGCTTTGCTTTGTGTTTTATTTGCTTTCTTACAAAACATTATAGCTTGAATGTCTTCTGTAAGTAAATAAGTGAAGAGATACTCTGTGACTATGGCCAGTGAGGCTCAATTCTGTGGCTATAGGAAGTGAGGCTCAATTCTGAGACTCAATATTGTCAAGATGCCAAATTTCTGGACATTTAACTGATGAGAATGAGTTTCATTTTTTGGAGTTTACTTGGCCTACCCGGGATGATAAGCACTTTCTATGCACTGTACCAGGGGATCGTCAGGACAGCCCTGGGTTCTGGTGCCGCCTTGCAGGGGAGAAGGTGAAGGTGGAGGGGTAACCCGGGGTTCTGGTGCCGCCTTGCAGGGGAGAAGGTGAAGATGGAGGGGTAACCCTGGGTTCTGGTGCTGCCTTGCAGGAGAGAAGGTGAAGATGGAGTGGTTAGGGGCCATTTCGAACGCTGCAGTAAGTGCCAAATCCACAGTTTGAATCGAATTCCAGAAACTCCAGAGTTTGCCTTCCGAACCAATCTGAGAATTATGCTGGTCCTCACATGCAGTCCCACGCCTGTCTCATTGGTCTCAGGCTATGGCTTTGACCATTTGACCCCAGTGGTGACAGCACGGGTCACTCACTCACCTGTAGGAGGAACATGGACACAGCCATAGAGACCGCATCCCTGGGTTTTCCCAGAAGGACCTTGGGTATGCGGGACATGGCCCCCACAGGGCATGATCGGAATGTCCAGTACTGTCCAGTTCATTCACTCTGGAGTCCCTCCTTCCCTGGGCTGTTATAAAACTAGAGTGAGTTCATGAGCACGAGGTTATGTTTGAAAACTCAATAGTCTTGCAAAAATCTGCGCTCTATTTACTGTGTAGAAACTTCGTTTGAGAACCATGTCTTCAAAAAACAAGGCTGTGGTCAATTTTCAGCTCCTTGGAAGCTGAATGGCATTTGTCAGGTCTGTCTTGCTTTAAGGCAAGTGACTCAGGGCTCCTGGGTGTTCTGAGGAATGTAACAGAGCCAGAGTCAGCTGCTGGCAAAGCTGGCAATGAGACAGGGGCTCCAGATGGACAAGCTTCAGAGACAGAAGAAGCCTGCAGCTCCCACACCTCGGACATCCTGCCAGGCCTGGACTCTGTCTCATTCCAGAGCCTTTAACTGTCCAGTCTTTGCCGGTCAGTGTATCTGACTCTTGTCCACGTGTGGGGGCCAATATTCTTCACCGTCTTGCTGCTGTGTGGTCAGGGTTTTCAGCAGGTGGTCCTCTAATGGGCTGGTTCCACCATGTGCCAAAGACCCTGGAGCCATTTTCTAACACAGTGTAGCAGGTACCATGTTTGGGAGACTTGGTGCTTTCTACTCTGGGCCAGAAAGATAGAACTTGTTAAGAAGCATTGGAACATGCCTACCTTTGTGAATGTTTCACTGATTCTAGCCTTGATATTGACTTGGTCTTTTAAAAACTTGACTTGGAAAAAAAAAGTACCCACTCTTAGAAAATACTACAGGGTGCTTTTCTGCCCCACTACATCTCTAAATGTGGTTCACTGCAGTGGTCACAGATGGCTGGCACTGCTTTTTCCTTGAGAGATGCTGTCTATGTCCCCTGCCCTTGAGCTCGGCCGGCTCCTGCGAAATTGTCACTGCTGAGTATTGGGGTTATTGACTGAAGGACATGCCGGGCTTGAGTTTGCAGGCTCAGCTCCTAAGAGATCATAGCTTCCTCTCCCACCTCTTGGAACACTTGCTTTTGGAAGCCACAAGGAGACCCATGGAAAAGACTGGGCCCTTCAAGCTAAACTGAGCTCCCAGGACAGCAGCCGGACCTGCATCTCCTGAGGGCCTCCATCCTGGCCCTGCACCCTCCAGCTCCAGTGACCAGGCCTGGCTTGCGATGAGCCACCCCGGACAGAAGCTCTCTGGGTTTCAGATCTGCAGACAAAATAAATGATTGGACTTTTGTGAAGCCACTAAGTTTTGGCTAAGATTTGTGATACAGCAGTACATAGTTGGAACATTAAGTGTTGGATGTTTTTCTAACAAAGGAATCGTATACACCAATATTTTATTTTACAATAATAAAATTTAAAATGTTAAGCTAATAAAATTAAGCTCAAAAGAAATATGATTACAGAGAGATTTTACTTACATGTGTAATATATGCAATGTACACTCATGTGTGGACGCTTATGTGAATGTGTGTACATGTGCATTCAATACACGTACATGGCTGTGCACGTCTGTGCTGATATGTACATGTGCAAACATGTGCATTGCTGTGCATGTATGTGTATACATGAGTGTACATGTGTGTGCATGTGTGTACATGTGTACGTGCGTGCACGTATGAATGTGTGTGTGCATGTGGGTGCTGCATTAGTGTATTTGGAGCACGTGCTTGGTTTATGCTCAGTGTTCAATGAGGCCACCTCATTTCCTTCTGCAGGGTGTCCTACCTGGCTCTCTCTCAGTAAGATACTTACTCCTCTCCGCCCTGTACCTACCAAGGAGACTGAGGCAGAGGAAGGCAGTGAGTGGCTCAGCAGCTGAGAGGAAAGCCTGGGAGGAGCCCTGGGCCTCTCTGTGTCTCTACGGAGCGAGCTGCTGCTGCTGTTTCACTGCTCTGCACCCCGGTGCCCTCACCTATGCAACAGGATGCCACAGTCACCCTCGGTCAGGTGCTGGGAAAGCCAGACCAGGTCAGAGACCTGCAGCCCCCATGCACTCATCGCCAATCCCCCGAGCTTCCAACACCAGAGCCACAGGACAGAAATGCTGGTATCAGGCTCTACAATCTCTCCATAGGCTAACAGTTTTGCTGATGAAGACAAGCTGCCACCTCTTCCACCAAGAGGGAAATGTCTGTTGAGTGGATGGAGTCCACCACGAGCAGGTCTGAAGCAGGAGGCGGCAGCAGGAGGCTGATTGTCACCATTGCTCACTGGACTCAATTATCTGCTTCAGAATATGAATGATGTGCTTCCTACACAGAATGAAAACACTGCATGCGATTGCATGACTTGTGAGTAAACATCACGAAACCAGAGTTTAGAAATGAAAAATGCTCCAGGCTGGGGTGGGGCTGTCGGAGGTCTGGGTTCAGCTGCTTTCTCTCAAGGGGATGTGTCACTGTCTGTGTCCCTGGAGCAGGCCACGGAGGAGAGGTCAGCACAGGCAACAGGACCATGGTGTTGGCCTTGGGGAAGGCGAGGAAGCTGGACTGAGCTCTCACCGGGGTTGGTCTGAGGCCCGGCACCTGTGGTTGGAGTGGGCCCTCGGGATGGCCAGTGAGTAGGTGGGCGACAATCAGACCCCACCAGGGGCAGGTTGACCAGGCCTCAGACAGTAGCATCACGGCCACGCCAGCTGAGAGGTGCAGGAGAGGAAAACTGAAGTTCCTTACTGGGAACTGAGGGCCCAAGGTGAGCCAGCAAGAGAAGCCAAAAGTAAGGTCGGTATTTCCTTAGCCAGGGTTTCAACCAGTTCAAGGGGAGAATGTGCCACCATTTATCAGAGAGATGTGTTATCTGTAAAATGCACCACCAAGGATACAAGCAAGACAGGAACGTGGGTGGTCGCTGTGGGCAGCGTCTTGCAGAGCAGGGCACTGAGGATCAGGGAGGTTCAGAACCTTCCAGGGACCAAGGACCCTCCTTGCCCACAAGGGACACCAAGTCCTGGGATGTGGGACACCCATCCAGGGTCCATGAGAGTCCACCATGAGGACGCATAGCCTTGCCATAGCCACAGAGGATCCAGTGGGCAGGAGGTTGGGTGTGGGGTAGGAAAAGCAGGCAAGGTCCAAGTTACAGAGAAAAAATACAATGAAAAACAATAGCAAGGTCCCAGGATCTGCGAAGGAAGACACAGACCTAAGGCAGCAGGACAGCAGGTCGGAGAGGCTTTTATTTTGTTTGGACCTGGAAAAAGATTGCCTTTGGTTTAAAAAGGCAAGTCAGATCCTAAAATAAGAATTAATGAGCCCTGGTCCTAGTAATGATGGTTAGAAGAGCAAGGATGGGGAGTAAAGGAGATTGTTACAATCAAAAAGTTTTCTATTTCATGTACTTATTTTAAGGAGAGGAAATGAAAATACGAACAGTGAACCTATTCAGATATCCAGGGTTACAGAGCTTTTTTTATTATAGTTTCCTAAATATTTCGGGCACTCTTCCTGCAACATTAGCTCAGCATCTACTGAGAAATACAAGAACATCTGTGGTTTAACTAGAAGAAACTTCTAGTCTATTCAGAGCCTGAACCCCTGCGGCTTGCAGGTACCCACGCCTGCACCACGTGATCCCCATCTGCTGGCCCCATCCCCGGGAACCACCACAGCAGGGGCCTTCTGGTTGCCTCACCTCCCACCCTCGCAGTTTGCCTTTGCGGGTTTAACGACTCTCCCAACCAAATCCTGTGGGTGACGCAAAGCAGCCACAGCAGGCAATTCACAAATAATACATTGTAAACATTTAAATAATTTCTGTAAATTCCAAAGCTAGTTGATTCTCACAAAAAGATTTCATTGATTTCTGCTGAATTCTTTGATCCATAGCTAATCTAGGATTTAAATTTAATGATGATTTGATAAATGGAGTTGTATTCCAATCCATTAACTCTTTTCCCAATAAATTAAACTTAAATTTGACATGTGACAGACTGATAAATGGTTTCCCAGCCTCATATAAATTATATTAATGAAACCAAAGCCTCTTTTTACTTCAGAGTCACGTGTTCTGGAACTTCATTCACTGGTTACCTTTGCTGATTTTGGAAAATAGATTTCAAATACTGAAAACATATTTTGTGGCTCGATAGCCAGAAACCACAGAGGCCCCCAAGGCTGATTCACGCCTGGGACACTGTGCTGGCTTCCGCAAACCTGTCTTTTAGGATGCACTTGGGGTAGCAGAGAAATTCATTATTTAGCTCTGTAAATCTTAGGCTTAAACACATTTTTTCTTCTTAATAGAGTCAACTCTAATGGATATTACTGAGTTATGAATCTATGGTACAAATTTCATGTGATATTGTGATTATTTAAGTTAAAATTGGGCATGAATTAACATTTACTCTTATAAGACCAAGTCCCTTAGATAACTAGGGCTGAGTGACCACACTGTGCTTCCTTTCATTTTTAAAAAATAGTACCTCAGGGTCTCATGGACAGTTAGTAAATTCAAAAATTCGCATTCCCACCAGGATATTTGACATCATCTAACGCTACAAACTCTATCGACCTTTTCATAATTGCTTCCTGATGACTGCAGTGCTGTGATAATGAGCCTGGTTATGATTTGCCACACGGCAGGGGTTTGTATTTAAGTGAAACGGTGAATCCACACCCAAGGACTCCCAGATGCCGTCCTGTTCAGACTCCCACAGAACCCGTCATGTCTCAGGGGTGGGAAGGGCAGAAGGAAGTACAGAAGCCAGAAGCATCGTGTGAAAGAACCTTCCACTAGACATGGGCGTGGTGACTGGCAGTTAATCCTGGTGAGATCACTAGTATTAGTGAGTGATACGGTTTGGCTGTGTCCCCACCCAAATCCCATCTTGAATTGTAGTTCCTATAGTCCCCATATGTCTTGGGATGGACCCAGTGGGAGGTAGTTTAATCAGGGGGGCGGTTACCCTCATGTTGTTCTCGTAATAATGAGTGAGTTCTCATGAGATCTGATAGTTTTACGTGGGACTTTTCCCCCTTTGCTTGGCACTTCTCTCTCCTGCCACCATGTGAAGAAGGACGTGTTTGCTTCCCCTTCCACCATGACTGTAAGTTTCCTGACCCTCCTAAGCCATGCTGAACTGTGAGTCGATTAAACCTCTTTGCTTTATAAAGTACCCAATTTTGGGTATGTCTTTATTAGCAGCATGATAATACACTAATACAGTGATAATTACTTAAAGTAAGGACTTTTATGTGCTAGAGATTGATAGGAGAACTTTACAGTTGAATCCTTGTAACAATTTATGATTTTCATGATCTCATTTATTTACCTTAACTTTGCATCACCCTTGTTTCATTATCACCAGGCAGGCTGACTTTCTTGGTCTTCTAGGGAAGAATTTCATGCATTTAATGACCACACCAAGATAAATTACATTGACTATGAAACAGTAGAGAACACAAAGTATTAGAGATGTTATGAAAAGTTTTATTTTTGTCATATGGATACTAAAATTTGATTATAGGCCAGGTGAGGTGGCTCATACCTATAATCCTAGCACTTTTAGAGGCCTAGTAGGAGGATCGCTTGAGCCCAGGTGTTTAAGACCAGCCTGGGCAACAAAGCGAGACTGCATCTCTACAAAAAATATAAACAAATAAAATTACCCAGGCATGGTGGCATGTGCCTTTGGTCCCAGCTACTCAGGAGGCTGAGGGGGAGGATTCTTCGAGCCCAGAAGTTCAAGGCTGCAGTAAGCTAGCCAGCCAGCCTGGAAAATAGAGTGAGACCTTGTCTCGAAAAATAAGTAAGTAAGTAAATACACAAAGATATAAAATTTGATTGTAAGGGAGGTTTTAGCTTGGATTTCAGGGAAAAAAGGGTTTTTCAAAGGCAAAGATAAAATATTTTAAGGATGAGTGAAGAGATGGAAGTGAGTGTTTATAAAGATGCCTTTTCTTTACATCCCGGCCCATGGCTTCCTGTGTGACTCAGAGTAACAGCAGAGGCCCCAGTGTGGTCTTCGTGGCCTCTGAGGCTCCCTTCCCACTCTGTGCCATGGCAACACCCCCATTTCTGTTCCTTGGGCACATTTCCTTCTCAGGCCCTCTCACTTGTCATTTCTTCTTCTGGGCACCATCTTTTCCTGAATCCATGCTGGCATCCTTTGAGGTTTCAACCCCAATAACATCTTTTGCATGAGATCTTCTCTGAGTACCTTTTATAAAATAACAAAGAGCACACTTTCTCCCCCACAATATCTAGAGCTCCAGTCTGGAACAGAGGGGCTCCACAGATATCAGATAGGCTAAAGTTGTGAAACTTCCAAAAACTCTTGGGATGATAATTATACTGTTGACCCTTGAATAACTTGGGGCTTAGGGGTGCTGAGCCTTCACACAGTTGAAAATCCACATATAACTTTTTGTTTCCCCAAAATGTAACTATGAATAGCCTACTGTTGACCAAAGTCTTACTGACAACATAAAAAGCTGATGAAGACATATTTTCTATGTTCTATGCATTATCTACTGTATTCTCCCAAAGAAGGAAGGTGGAGAAAAGAAAATGATATTCAGGAAACCATAAGGAAGAGAAAGTACATTCACCATTCATTAAGTGGAGGTAGACCATATAAAGGTCTTCATTCTTGTCTTCCTGTTGAGCAGGCTGAGGAGGAGGGGGGAGAAGAGGGGTCAATGTGGCTGTTTCAGAGGTGGTAGAGCAGGTAGAAACAGGTGTGTAAGGGACCTGCTCAGCATACATCTGTGCTGTGGGAGAGGAGAGGTCAGTATGGCTGATTCAGAGGTGGTGGAGCAGGTAGAAAACAGACATGTAAGGGACCTGCACAGTGTACATCTGTGCTGTGCACAGGCCAACTCCATTCATTCCCTGGAGAACTCAGCTAGCCCCCAAGGCTTCAGTCACATGGTTTTCTAAGATCTAAGATTAAGGTTCAATATTATGTGAGCTTTGGCATCAGGGGAAATCAAGAGGCCCCAAATGACCTTGCCACTGTCCCCTCCACACTCTGCTCCCTTGGGTGAGACCCCATAGACAAATGCCCCCCTCCTCCCAGGGACCAGGCACCAGCTCCACCTGAGCAGAGAGCCTCATTCAGCTCCTGGCCGGCTGGCAAAACTGTTCAAGTCAGTCAATTCCATCATTCTTCAGGAGCCAGGCATTGCCTCCCCGTCTTGTTACTACCAAGCCTGCCTCCCGAGGCCCTGTCTCTTCACACGGCTCCCGAGGCACCCTCAGGTGGTCTGCAGTGCTCCTGCCCAGGGCTGTGATTAATAACCTGCTGTCTGTCCATCTGCCCAGAGCCCAGGGTCCTGTGTTCTGCCCTTCCCAGGACTCCAGGGCGGGACCCATTCTCATCCATGGGAAAAAGAGGTGGGGATTAAATACCCTTTCCAAGAATGGACTCCAAAGTCTATTTCTCATGCATCTCCTGCTGTGCCTATCTATTCAGGGTAGTGTCTTCTCAAATCCACACAGGGCAGCTTCTCCGTGTTGCTCTCTAACATACCGAGGATGGAGCCCAGCTCAGCAGCTGACGCGACACAGACCCTCCATCAACAGTGCATGGGAAAGTTGACCAATGACCTCCTGAGAAGTCAAAGCAGCCCTACACAGGCTGCTCTGAGCATAACGCCCAGCCCGGCTCCACAGCCACACGGGCTCCTGGGTAGACAGGTGACCTGGTGTCAGAGTCACCAGTGAGGGTGAGTGCAGCCAGCCGTGCAAGTGAGCATAACGCCCAGCCCGGCTCCACAGCCACACGGGCTCCTGGGTGGACAGGTGACCCGGTGTCGGATTCACCAGTGAGGGTGAGTGCAGCCAGCCATGCAAGTGAGCCCACCAGAGCTGCTTCGCTCGGGGTAGGCTGGGGAGATCACCTCTGAGGCCGCAGGGTCAGGGTGGCTTTTCTGGAGACCCAGACCATGAGCCAGCTCAGAGAGGTGCCTGCTGCTCAGCAACTGTCAGGCCTTCAGCATTTAAGGATCTTCACAACGTTGTCTTCCTTGTACACCTGGCATATTCCTAGTTATCCAATATTCATCTTTAAACTGAATTAATTTAACTATTTAATAGTCTCATATGAAATTATCCATGAAAATTGTGGGTCTGCTATTTAGATATTTAATTTAATGGTAGGTCAACACCAATTTGTTTCTGGAAGTCTGACTAGAAAACGAGATGGTGTGTGAAAGTTAAAGAGTGTCTGAGACGGAGGGTAAATTCTGGAATTTCACGTGTTAGGATGTATACACAGAATATATGGAAAATGGCAGGGAAAGAATCATTTGAAGAGAAACCGGCGAGAAATAGCACGTGAATTCGAGGACTCTGCATTTTATCCAAGGCCCTGAGACACGGCCACCAACAACAGGTGAGAAGCAGTTCATGGAACCCTAGAGCATAAACCACCCCATTTCCCAAAGGACAGCAATGCCCTGGACCCGGCACTGAATTAAGAAGAAAAGCAGGAGGGAAGAAAGGCGTAAACGGGACACAGCAAGGAAATTCAGAGCGGGGGCCCAGGAGCTGGGTCTGGACAATGGAGGGTGACCACCCAGGACACCAGCTGGTGCTGTGGGACCGGGTGCTGCCTCAGGTTCCCACCGCAGTGTGGGCCGGCCAAGGCTCCGGGCAGCTAATTTATGCCATTTGACTTCATTAACCCGTGTGGGGGCAAATATCTCTAAAAGCTGAATGGACACTTTAGGAGTGACATTCCCTAAAACCCCACTCTTTGTATATCACGGTCCTTAAGAGAAGAGGGGCTGATGGTGTGGGATCTGTGAGACCGTGGTCAGTCGCTGCATTTCAGGCCTCCAACGCTGCTTACTTTGATCTAAAATATAACCAGAAGAACCACAGGTTTTTAATTCCAGAAGAGGTTGAATTCCTGACTCTGTTATTACCGTCTGTGATCCTGGGCAGAGTACATCTTCTGTTTGAGTTTTATCAGCCCAAAAAGGGCACCGTGTTACTTCAGAGATGGTGGTAAGAGCACTAAATGAGTGAACGGTGTCAACATCTGAGAAAGATGTGGCCCGTCCCAGGTCAACCACGCATGGTGATTAGAACTGTGTTAACCATCAGCTCAGGCCCTATGTGGAATTTCCTTCACTTATGAAAAAATGTAGAAAAAAATCATTTTCTTAAATGGTGAATGCATCTGAGTACCTTGGAGGAAACTGCTGAGGGAGCATCCAAGTGAAAATCCCCGGCTGCAGCACACACGTGCTCACACAGTCAGTGCACAAACAGGCAGCTTCTGTGCTCCCGCACTGTTGGGTTAAAGACAACAATGTCATCCTCTTAATTAGACAAATGTGTGGCTTCCAAGGGCTTCTGTCCGAGGAGACTGTGTGCAGCCTTGGATGTTCCTGCTGCCTGTGCTCATTGTCACTCTGAGAGTTTCGTTGGGGTTTGTCCACACCACACTTGCATGAAAGGATGGGTCTTGGGGTGTCTGGCTCACCTCTTATCTCCAGCACTTTAGTTAATAATTGTCTTTTGAAGGAAGAAACACATGTGAAGAGGGCCAACTGCTGGTGGAGCGTGAGGCGTGTACCTGGTGTGAACACGGGCTCCCATGCCCACAGCCTGGTGCCAGTGCCCCCCCAGCAGGTACCCTGTCCCCCAGGCCTGGCGCCCCCACCTAGCAGGCATCCTCTCCCCCAGTCTGGTGCCCCCACCCAGCAGACACACTGGCTCCCATCCTGTTTCCCCCCAGCAGGCACCCTGTGACCCTCAGAATGGAACCCCACCCAGCAGGCACTGTCCCCCAGCCTGATGCCCCACCCAGCAGACACGCCGTCCCCCAGCCTGCCCCCCAAGCAGGAACACTCTCTGCCAGCTTGAAGCCCCACCCAGCAGACACACTGTCCCACAGTCTGGTGCCCCCACCCAGCAGGCACGCTGTCCCCCAGCCTGGTGCCCCACCCAGCAGACACATTGTCCCCCAGCCTGGTGCCCCCACCCAGCAGGCACCCTGTGACCCCCAGCCTGGCACCCAGCAGACACACTGTCCCCCAGGCTGCCCCCCGAGCAGGAACACTGTCCCCCAGCTTGAAGCCCCACCCAGCAGACACACTGTCCCCCAGTCTGGTGCCCCCACCCAGCAGACACACTGGCCCCCATCCTGCCTCCCCACAGCAGGCACCCTGTGACCCCTAGAATGGAGCCCCACCCAGCAGACACATTGTCCCCCAGCCTGGCTCACCCACCCAGCAGGCACCGTGTGACCCCCAGCCTGGTGCACCCGAGAGGCAGGAGTGGGCTGCACGGGGTCTGAGGAGGGGAAGTGAGGTGAGGTTGTGTTCTAGAAAGCTGGCCATTGGCACTGTGGAAAGCACTGAGGATGGGAAGCTTAGGTGGACCTGAAATAACTGAGGCAGCTTAAACAATGAAGAGTTTATTCGAGCCAAATTAGAGGGATGGCAGGAAAGTTTCAGGGTACCTTGAGAAACGTCCTGGAGAACAAAAGAGAGATCTGAGCCTTTAAGGAAAAGGACAAAGGAGAGGGGGTATCATAGAGGCTGTTTTCAGGATTACAGTCCACGTGTGATGGTATTTGAGGTGGTGTGGAGGCAGGGGCCTGCCTGTGACGGTCTGAAAGGGCCCTTCTGGCTGGCAGGTGTGTGGCTGGGCAGTGACTCAGCAGGAAGCAGTGATCCCTGGGGGGCCCGGAATTCTTCCTTTCAGGCCTGCCTGAGGCTCCAGCCAAAAAGCCCTCCAGGCTGCATCAGGAGCTTGAGGAGCCATCACTGCCAGGGGGTTATTATTGGTCTGTTGGAGTCTGTTGGAAGGGGATGCTCCGCTGGCGGGTGTATTTTTAAAAGTAGCCACACCTCGGAAATATGTAAGACTCTGCCCCCATGAACATCAATTAAGCCTGATAACCGATTACAGCTTCCAGCAGCCACATTCCCCTTATAGATCCATAATATGAAAATAAATTGCCTTACTGTTACATTACACCGAAAAAAAATTGAAACTGAATTTACAAAAATTTCCAGGGAGTGAATCAATGTTCCACAGCCAGTACAAGGCATTTTCTTCCCAAAAGAAGGCCCTTCACCTCAGTTAGATAATTAATAGCTAATCACCTAGCTGTGTGTGTCACCGTGCTTGGAAAAACCCAGTGCGTTTGGGAGTTGTGAGACTCTTCCCCTCACTTTTTTGTTCCTAAAAATCACGACAGCAAGTGCAGCATTGAGGAACATGACGGATCTGAAATGAATCTGGTGTGAATCCAACGCAGTCATTTTCATGTTGTGCTCACCTCTGATTCCACAGGGCCTGATTATTCACTAGTTTTAAAACCCTTTTCATTATTTAGAAATGACAGAGTGGATTAAAGAAAAAACTGTGAGAGGGACAATTATAGGAACAGCATGAAAGTTTTAATGAACAGTTTCCAAATCAGCACCTGGAATAAGGCATGGGCGTCTTCTTCATCGCTCATGGAAATACACAGCGGCATCATCATCTTAATAAAAAGGCCAAAAATACATTTTAACTTCAGCCAACCTCACCTGCTTAATTATTAAATGCGGGGGTGGTTGTAAAAGCACTTAAGTCACTATTCTGGATGAGAATGTTCCTTATTTTTAGTTCTCAAAATGTGAAGGAATTAATTCTCATTCTCATTCAAATAACTTACTGTGCCCAACATCGTGAATGAAGTAAAGAAATGCATAAATTTATCTTATTCTATCTTTTACCATTCATGTTTCTTTCGCTCTCAAATTTAGAATTGTGACCAGGTTTACAATTGTTTTATTATTTTTATTTTATACTTCTAAACTAAAATATTTACTCCTAAATACATACCAGATATATATCTAAACAATCATGTATTAGTATGTAGAAGTGTATAATAAATAACTACAAATAACAAGGTTTTTGAGAAAAAATAAAATCTACAAAAAGTAGATATCCAAATGTGACTTAAAACTCACCATAGCTTTTTGAAAACCTCCATAATCCCTCACAGTAGTTGTTCTCCCTGGGTTGCTTTTAATTATGCAGAGGGTGGCGATTTGAATGGCCACCACATTTGAGTTGCAACACAGATACAGCCACGGTTCATGAAGAGATGTCTCAGTGATAGTGTGAATTAAAAAAAAAAAAAAAAAAACCTAGTGGAAAGGAAGGCATCACAGAAGTTGGCCAGTACTTAGAGGTGGAAATGAGACATTGCTGTCGTGCATTTATAAGTGGAGATCAGCCCTCACATGGGCTTGGAGTTCAACTTTGCTTTGTGTAGAATAACAGTCTCCCAGCTGGTAAAATAACACGAAGTTATTCTCCGGCCATTGGCAGCTGCGGGGGGTACTGACAGAAGTAAATGTAAAAATAACCCTAAATATCTCATATTTTGGGTGCTCTTATAAATGGTAATTTTTTTAAAAGTTACAATTTCCAATCACTTGTTGCTATTACGTAAAAACTCAACTTATTTTTAGGTATTGGCTGAGTGTCCTGAAAACTTGCTAAACTCATGTACTTATCTTAGTAGCTTTTTCCTAAATTCCCTGTGATTCTCTGCGTAGACAAGCATGTCTTCTGAATGGAGGCAGCTGTTGGTCTTTTTCTCCCGGCCTCATTACCCTGGGCAGGACGTCCGGCGTGAGGCTCCTGGGAGGGAGACGGACTGCAGGGAACCCCTCCATCCCATGCTACGTGGGACGCTGGCTCTAGGGTTTTCATCAAGGCCCTGGAGGAGCTTGAGGAAGCTCCCTCGTTCTAGTCCTTGTTTGCTAGCACCTGTTTGTTTTTTGAGTCAGTGTTTGATTTTGTGAAATGTGTTTTCTGCATGTACTGAGGTAGTCACGGGTTTCTCTTTCTGTAAACAGGACAAATCCATCAATGTCACCTGAATGTTCAACCAAGCGAGGAGCTGTGTTCCCTGCTGGATCGAAACCTGTGGTTATGAGCCCAGCATCTGTGTTCACGAAGGCTGCTGCGCAGCCGCTCTTGCCTCTGGGTTTGGTATCGGGGTGATGCTGGCTGGATTGCATAAGTGGGGGAATGGTCCTTCTCCTTGAGTTTGTGAAGGAATTCATGGGGCATGGGCATCATTTCATTCCTATCTTGGCAGGAGTCACAGCAGAGCCCTCCGGGCTGAGTTTCTTTGTGGAAACCCTTCCCCATCCCGGACGCTTCCCAGCTGGGCCTCGGGCCACCACGGCTGTGGCTCTGGCCTCCCCAGTGTCCTCCTGAAACTCCTTCTGAGTGGTGTCTGGACGTCGACGGTGCCTCATCTGTCCGGACATCACGGCCCTGCGTGTCCTGTCCCAAATCTCCCCAGCCCGCAGCCCTGCTCCCCGGCACTGGAAGGCAGTTCAGGGCTGTCTTGCTGTTTCCTGGAGGTGGCTGTGAAAGGTCTGAAGTAAGTGTTCTCAGCCCTGCGGTCAGTTGGGCCCTTCCTCGGCTGTCTCAGGTGGGAATGGGAGGCAGGGAAGACCCATGGTCTCTAAAAGTCTGTCAGTTCCTGGGAGGGCCCAACGCTGGGCTCACGAACCTGACCTCTGGGACATGGCCTTTCTCTGTGTGCTCTGGGCCGTCTGGAGTGGGAACGGTCCACTCTTCATGAGCAACAGCATATGGTGCTTATCCAGGTATGCACAGAGGCCGAGTGCTCCCTGGTAGGTGGTCCCAGGAGCCCCTGACTGTGTCAGGCTGCAGAGGTGGATGTGGCTCCCATCCCTAAACCAACTGAGGCTGCCAGCTCCACCCTCTACCCTGTACAGTGGATCAGGACACCTGCCTGGGCCATCCCACGTCATGGCCTGGAGAATGAGACCACATCTGGTCATCACAGGCAGCTCAGTCTGCAGGTCGCCAGACAGCCCGCAGCCAGCACCCAGGTTTAGGGGGCCCAGGGGGCCATGGGGGCTGACACAGGACAGGCAGCATCTGCCCCAAAAGGCGACGCTGACTCTGGGCTTGCCGAATCCATGTGGGGCAACTGAGACCCCCAGAGATTCCCCACAGAGCCCTGATCACAGGGATACATCAGCCAGCACCTTCTGACCTCCTGGGCCCCACAGGCTGAGGGGGACAGCAGGCATCCTGCAGCCACAGGACAGCCTTGGGTGAAGCTGGGCATCCACAAATCACCCGATAAAGGGTAGGAGTGACCCCGAGTGCAGTGTGCACACCAGGGTCCAGGATCCTGCTAAGGCTGCTGTGTTTCCTCTGCAGAGACATAAACACGATGACGTGCTGGGCTCAGCAGAAGGCTGCCGCCCTCCTGTGTCCAGGACCACAGGACTCCGAAGGCCCCGTGTGTCCTCCTGGGGCCTTAGGGAACTTGGCAGGGCTGCCCACTGGCTCTGTCGGCACGAGGCCTTCAGAATTACAAACTTTGGAAGAATTTCTCAAGCTATCAGAACAACCGAGGTCCCTGTGCACGGCTCTGTGGACGTGAGTTGGTCCTGCAACAGGCAACAGTGCATTTGCTGGTGAGGGGAGCCCAGCAAGGGCAGGAGTGGCGTCAGTCTGTCCAGTTACAAAACATAGCAATGGGACAAGATCCAGTAGGCCCCGTGTTTGCCAGTAGACACTCACTCTCTTCCACAACCCGAGCAGGCACCACGCAGGGGAGAGCCGAGGGGTGTGGAATGGACCCCACCTGCACTCACCCCCATGCCCATGGCCAGTTCCTCTTTTTGCTTCAGGAAAACGTCGTTTTCCCCTGGAAACCAGCGTTTGATTCACCGACTCGCACAGTAGGCAGCCTGGAGACGGCCGTCTTCTTAGCTGGGACACCAGGCACTCCAGGGCTTTTGTTTTCCCTCCTATGGTGTCATCATAGACACGACCTCACACTATCTGCTTATCACAGTGTAAAGCTCTTCGGAAGAACAACCTTCACATCAGCATTTGTTATGAGTGACAGGGGAGGGAGCAAAACCTCCTCCTCCAACCCATGTTTTCGCATCATTTTTCATCTGCGGAGAAACCCAAGCCATCCCCACCCCCAGGAATGTAAGGACAGAAACTGAAGTCCTCATCATTCTGCCTCTGGTCTTCCTGTTAATAAAAAATAAGTCTGTGTTAATTAGATTTGGAAGATGAGTTTTCCATCCAGGCACTTTTCCCTGAATTATCCTCGTCCGCACGAGCGACTCTTTCCAGGGCTGGAGCTCACGGCTGGGCTGTGGCCTGTGCCGTCCCGTGGAGGTTAGAAGGTGGGCGCAGATGTGCTCAGCTTCCTGAGAGACGTCTCATTATAACGCCGCCCCAGGCAGTAATTTGATCTTTTTTTCTTTTAAAAGATGAAATTCCGCTTTTATCCCTTTGGTTATAGTCCATAGCTCCTCTGCTTGTTAAACCTTAAGGAAAAGACTAAAATCTTTTGCCACTATTTTGTCGGTATGTATTTCAAAAAGAAAAATAACAATATACCTATTGCATTAAAAATGTTTTGATCTGATTATAGCTACAAGGTAATAGATATTAAAGAATCTAGTGCTCTCCCATATGACAATTATAAATGGTACATTTTCCTTATTCCAGGAAATGTTACAAAAATTTGGGAACACTAAATTAATATAATTTGCCCAAAGGTGCTTATGTCTGTCTAGAGGATGGCATAAGTTCATTGTAGTATAGATAATGCATATCATACAAATCGTGTTCAGAAACCCCTGCTAAAACCAGTCTCCTTGTTTTATGATCACATTATATGAAGGAGTAAATGCTGTATCAGATATTCCAGGAATAAAACTTGCTTATCAAAATCACCCTACACAACACCTCAGTGTCCAAGGGAACATAAAAGGTAATGTCAAGGGTTCCCGCATATCAACATAAATGTGATTTTCAGATAAGCAATTACAGCATAGTCCACAGTAATATCCGACATTTTTATTGCTCGAATATTTTTGTAATAAGGAAAAATAGTTCAGTACAAATTTATGATATTTTTACAGTAGATTGAAACTAGTATTTTCTAAATATTTGAATTTTCCGATCGATTGATTTTATCCATTATCCTCTTCTAAAGTATCAATCCAGTGGATTTTCTAGGATCAAAAATTAGCAACAATTGTATATGTACTTTCACTATGGAGAATCTTGTGTGCACCTACAGTATACCAGGTCATCTTAGGCAGGCATGTAGTTACAGTATTCGACACTGTGGGGTTATCTGATGACCTCGCAGACCCCGTAACGCAGGTTGACCTGTGTCTGTTTTCGAGGACAATGGGAGTGCTTCCTGACACTCGGCCTCATCAGCTCCATGGGGGTCAGGCCTGCCGGGACCCCTGCTGCTGGCTTCATCCTTCTCTTCGGAAGAATTCCCTTTTTCCCCTTTTCCCAGTGGAAGGCTCTGCTTTCTGCCACACTGCAGGCCACCGGAAACCCCAGCTTTCTCTGGCCCCACACAGGTCTTTGAGAAAAGGGAAAGATGAACATGGCCAAGCCGCCATCAGGTGAAGGACTGAGCCTTGTGTGCCCATCCTTGGCCTTCCCTGGTGTCACTGTTCAGCAGGGAATGTTCTGGAGCAAAGAGGCCAGAGCAGGCGGTGCTTCCAGCAAGTGCAGCCACAGGTGAGAGACACTCACTGTTCTCATCGTGATCAACTCAACAGTGCACAGCTCTAAATTTAAAAAAAGAGAGTCTACTGTGGTTTCAACGTGTGACCCTTCAAATTCATGTTGAAACTGAATCCCATTGTGGTGGCGTGAGGATGCGGGGCCCTTGGGAAGTGAAGGGATGATTGCCTTGTGCAGGGGCTGGAGGAAGGCGGCTAAGGCTGCCACAGGCCTTCCGCCTACCACCCAGTGAGGACCAGGCACCCGCCCCAAGGCCACCTTGGATACAGACAGCAGCCTTCACCAGACACCGACCCTGCCAGCAACTTGATCTTGGACTCCCAGCCTTCAGCACTGTGAAAAATAAATTTCCATTGCTTTTAAGTTACTTTCTATTACTTGTGAATTACCCAGTCTGTGGTATTTTGTTACAGCAGCACGGAGGGACAGAGACACACGCACACTCAACTCAAGCTTAGCAACTGGACTGGTGTTCCTTCTCACTTCTTAGTCACCTTTTTCCCAACAGAAACATCCTATTTCATCTCTGTATTTTATTTCTATATGGAAGAGCCTGAAAACAGTGTCTCTGCTGACATGAGCTATGTTATATTTCTTCATGAAAGTTAATATTCCCCACATTCCAAGCCAAGACTTAAAAAGTTACAATTGCCAGCCTTGGTGGCTCATGCCTGTAAGCTCAGCCCTTTGGGATGCTGAGGCAAGAGGATCTCTTAAGTCCAGGAGTTCAAAACCAGCCTGGGCAACATAGTGAGACCTTGTCTTTACAATTTTTTTTTTAATTAGCTGGGTGTGGTGGTGCACACTTGTAGTCCTAGCTATTCAGGGGGCTAAGGTGGAAGGGTCATTTGAGCCCAGGAGGTCGAGGCTGCAGTGAGCCATGATTGTGTCACTGCACTCCAGCCTGGGTGAGAGTGAGACTTTGTCTCAAAAAAAAAAAAAAAAAAAAAAAAAAGTCACAGTATTAACTCTGACAGATAGGAAATTCATTTTTTAGGTCAGTAAGTTAAAGCCCTAAATGCTCCCAGATGGAATAGATTTTGATGAAGTGTCAAGGTTTACAGATTTCTCAATATATATTTTCCAAGAATATTTTCAATTTTCTGCACAGAAAACACTTTGACTCTTGCCCTTCATTATCAGTGACCAGAATGTTCAAGCATTTGGCATTTGTTCACGTCTTCCCCCTCTCCCATCTTTCATTTCAAGTTTTAAAATTCCCATGCACAATTCCAGGCCACACCTGAAGGTGCTCCCCCTCCAAGCCGTCCCTGTGTCGTCTCCACCCTGGCTTCCTCCCTGACACCTGCCATGTGCTGACGCCCTTGCACTAGGGCCCCAGTGTCTGCCTTCATCCCCAGCGAACCGCTGAACTCAAGAGCAGGGTGCAGGTTGCTTTTTAGCAGGGGTCCTATTAGACACCTGAATGTAGTTCACCTTATAATTCATACCCCTGGGAACCCCTTGAGTGCCATGGGCACCTTCATCCAGGAATACTTACAGGGGAGTTTAGGGAGGAACTTTAGAAAGAACCTAGGAGAGTTCCATTTTGTTTTAAAGCCAGTTGGTCAGTTTGCAAGATGCTTAGCACAGCACCGTTCTGGTGACCAAGATAGCTCTTGTTTCTGGTGCCCTTGGAGTCTTGCTTTAGTTCCAAACTATACGCTTCATCAAGTTGCAAAATAAAAGGAAAAGAGAAGACACCCGAAACTTCTTAAACTAACAAAAATTTGAATTCAGAGTATGTAAAGAATACCTACAAATCAATAAAAGATGAAATAAAAACTGATGCAAAGTGGGCAAGAATTGCAAACTGTCACTCCAAAGACCAAAATTCATATGAATCATTAATAATCAGAAAATGTAAATGAAAAGCTTGATGAGATGCCTTTTATATCTAATACTGCAGCACTGCAAGGTCTGCCGATGCCAGGCAGTGTTGAATAGACTTTGTGGAGGGACAGCCCAGGTTGGTAAGCCAACATGATGCAGCCACCTTGGAGGCTATTTGGAATTGCCTGGAAATGAGCGGAATGGGCCAGGTAGTGACCATCAATCCACGCCTGGGCATGAGCTCCGGCACATTCTCTGCAGAGCGTGCCTGTCTCTTCTCAGACAGGATCCACCTCTGCCATGCTCTGGCCCAGGGAGGTGGTCTCTGGGGCCCATGACCTTAGCTGGTTGGCTGCTGGACCCCAGGCCCATTGGAAGGGAGGCCGGTGGGCAGAAGGGAGCCGGGGTGGAACAGTGTGGATGCTGTCCTATCCTAGAGCCGCATCCTTGCAGTCACTTTGGGATCAACACATACAACACAGAGCACCTGCTAAGCTCTCATGTCATATCAACAGCACCTTCTGTTCTAGTATAAATAGCTGCTGAGAACTGGATGGGACCTACTTAAAACGGGGGACTGTTTATCTGAAGTTTAAATTTAGGTGGGCATCCTGTATTTTTATTTGGCAAATCCAGCAATCCCGGCTGCTACCCACTCTCTGAACTCCCAGAACAACTCATTTCTTACCTGGTATTCTAGTTGCTTACACGAATTCTGTCACAAGCAAGCAATTTAAGTCCCATCTTTTACCATTACAGAGGCTGAGAAGATGAGTCTACGGGATGGGGACACATTGCCTTCCGCAAGTTCTTTTTTTCTGTGCTTATTCACTGTGCAGGGCAAAAACGCTTTAGAAGAGAATGTGTGTTGAGCCCAATTTTCACAAAAGATAAATGGACACATAAATGATGGAAGAATCCATTCCATTTTTATAAAAATAATACAGGGTTTAAAATCACAGTGAAGGTTTGGAAACCCTCACTGTTGCTTGCAACTGAGAATTTCAGCAAGAGACTGAAAGTGTGATGTGTTATTTAATTTTGGGCTTGCTTGAGAGAAGTTAACAAAATAACCATAAATAAGAACCTATCACATCTCAGGGCTAATAATGGCTAATAGAATAAATGAAATATATACTTAATATGGCAACTTAACAAGTATTGACTCATTTGAAAGTGCTGATATCATGCAGGCAATGCTCTTGGGCCACAATTGATTTAAATTGGAAATTAACAACAGAAGGAAATTTGAGAAATCCAAAAGTATTTATAAATTAAACAACACATTTCTAAATAATTCATGAGTCAAAAGAGAAATTACAAGGGAAATTAGAAAGTATGCTTTTCTAAATGACAATAAAATCAACACATCAAAAGTTATGGGACAAGCTAAAGCAGTGCTTAGAGGAAATTTTATAGCTTTAAATGCCTCCATGAAAAGATAACAAAGATCTGAAGTCAATAATCTGAGCTTCTGCACTGAAAACCTAGAAAAAGAAAAGCAAATTAAACTGAAGACAGGCCAATAAAAGAAACACTAAAGATTAAAGAATTAATGAAATAGAAAAATAGAGAAAATTTGAGGGAACCAAAAGTTCATGCTTTGAAAAGATCAACAAAATTGATAAGCCTTTAGCTTGAAGAAAAAAAAAGACAGGCCAGGCGTGGTGGCTCATGCCTGTAATCCCAGCACTTTGGGGGGTGGAAGTGGGCATATCCCGAGGTCAGGATTTTGAGAGCAGCCTGACCAACATGGTGAAACCCTGTCTCTACTAAAAATACAAGAAAATTAGCTGGGCATGGTGGCGCGTGCCTATAATCCCAGCTACTCAGGAGGCTAAAGCAGGAGAATCGCTTGAACTCAGGAGGCAGAGGTTGCAGTGAGCCGAGATTGGGCCACCGCACTCCAGCCTGGGCGACAGAGCAAGACTCTGTCAAACGAAACAAAACAAAACAAACGAAAAAAAAAGGCAGAGAAGAGAAGACACAGATAGTGAAATTTATGAATGAAAGAGGAGACATTACCGGTGACTCCTCTGAAATTAAAAATTACAAAAGAATTCTCTGAACAACATTTTGGGAATAAATTCTACGACATTGATATAGTTGTCAAATTTCTAGAAAGGAACAAATTAGCAAAATGACTCCAGATATAATAGAAAATCTGAATAAATGTATAGCAAGTAAAGAAGTTGAATGAAGAATTAAAAATCTTCAGACAAAGAAAAATTCAGGCCCAGATGGTCTCACCCAGATAGTAATTTTTTATCAAATATTTAAACATGTAATATCAATATCTCACAAACTCTGCCATTAAATAGAGGAGAAAAGAATGATTAACAACTCATTCTATGATTCAATGAGACAAGAGAGTGTGTGTGTTGAGCCCACCTTTCACAAAAGATAGATGGACACAGAACTGCTGAATGAACTCATTGCATTTTGTAAAAAGTAATACAGGGCTTTAAAATCAAATCAAAGGCTTGGAAATCCTCATTGTTGCTTGCAACTGAGAATTTTAGCAAGAGACTGAAAGTGTACTGTGCTGTTTACCTGTCTATCACCCTGATGGACACCTGTCTATCACCCTGATAGAAAAGCCAAAGGCATAGCAAGAAAGAAAACTGCAGACCAATATCTCTCATACATAAATGGAAAAGCTCTTGACAAAATATTAGCAAACTAAAGCCACATCACATTACAACAAGGCTAAACACTATGATCAAGAGGGATTTGTCCCAGAGAAAAGAGGTTGGTTTAACATTCAAAAATCAATGTAAAGCATCCTATTTGTACAAAAACCACATAATCATTTCAATAGATGCAGAAAAAGCACTGAACAAAATTCAATACACTTTCATGACAAAAGCACTCCACAAACTAGGAATCTAATAAACTAAAAACCGATAAAGAAAATGTAAATACAATCCCCAAGCCGACACCAGGCTAAATGGAGGGGGACGGACCACATCCCTCTGAGTTCAGCAAAAAGGCAAGGACATCTCCTCTCATCTCCTTTCCAACCTGGTACACCCTGTGCGAACAGGGCAAAAAGACGCCCACATTGGAAGAAAGAAATACACTATTTGCATTTGGAGATGTCAGAGTCTGCACGTAAAAAATCCTGAGGAATCCACAAACAACTATTAAAACTAATTTTTGAAAGCACAGCAAGTTTACAGAATACAAATTAATATGAAATCAATTGTATTTCCATATGTAAGCAATGAACAACCTGAAAAGGCAATTAAGAATGCAATTTTATTCATATCATCCAAAATTATGAAATACGTAGGAATAAATTTAACAAAAGTAGTGCAAGTCACGTGCATTGTAAATTAGAAAATGTTACTAATAGGAATTAAAGTGGCTTTAAAGATATGGAGAGACATTTTCTGTTCATGGATTGTGAGACTTAACATTGATTTAATGTGCAAAATAATGCCCCACCCCACAAGATAACATGTTCAAATCCCAGACACCTTTGAATATGTTACTTGGCAAAAATTGGCATTGCAGGTGTGCTGAAGGATTTTGAGTGATGAGATTCTCCTGCATTGCCTGGGCCAGTCTAGTGTCATCATGTGGATCCCTGTGGGAAAAAGCGGGAGGTGGGAGAGCTACAGGAAGGAAGGCAGAGGGAAGGGCCACTGGCTGAAGAAGTCAGGTGCCTCTAGAACATGGAAAATGCCAGGAAAAAGACTTCTGGGGCCTGTGGAAGGAATACAACCCTGCCAACACCTTCATCTTAGCCTGGTGAAACCAACTTTGGACTTCTGACTTCCAGAGCTGTGAGGTAATAAATCTGTGCTAATTTTAGCCATTAAATTTGTGGTAATTTCTTACAATAGAAAGCTAATCAAGAAGACAATTCTCTCCAAATTGATATGGATTCAATGCACTCTCCATCAAAATTCCATACAGCTTTTTAAAGAAATTGACAACCTTATCCTAATATTTTTATGAAAATGAAAAATGCCAAGAATAACCAAATCAATTTTGAAAAAAAAATAGATAAAAGACTTTAACTTCCTGATTTTGAAGCATACTAGGAAATGGCAGCTATCAGGACATGTGGCACCAGCGTGAAGATACATGTAGAGACCAGGGAACAGATGAGAGTCCAGGAATAAATCCCAACATTTACTGTCAATTGATTTTCTCAAAGGTGAGATTAAAAATTTGTCAAAACATGGTGTAAATGTGCCACATTTTCTTAATCCAGTCTATCATTGTTGGACATTTGGGTTGGTTCCAAGTCTTTGCTATTGTGAATAGTGCCGCAATAAACATATGTGTGCATGTGTCTTTATAGCAGCATGATTTATAATCCTTTGGGTATATACCCAGTAATGGGATGGCTGGGTCAAATGGTATTTCTAGTTCTAGATCCCTGAGGAATCGCCACACTGACTTCCACAATGCAGCCATAAAAAATGGTGAGTTCATGTCCTTTGTAGGGACATGGATGAAGCTGGAAACCATCATTCTCAGCAAACTATCGCAAGGACAAAATACCAAACACTGCATGTTCCCACTCATAGGTGGGAACTGAACAACGGGAACACATGGAAACATGAAAGGGAACATCACACACCGGGGCCTGTTGTGGGGTGGGGGGAGGGGGGAGGGATAGCATTAGGAGATATACCTAATGTTAAATGATGAGTTAATGGGTGTAGCACACCAACATGCCACATGTATACATATGTAACTAACCTGCACGTTGTGCACATGTACCCTAGAACTTTAAGTATAATAAAAAAAATTGTCAAAACATATGAACATGCACTTTACCAAAGAAGACATATGGATGGCTGATAAGCAAATGCAAAAATGCTCAATGTCATTCATCTTCGGGGAAATGCAAATTAGAACTACAATGAAATACCTTCTCATACTCACTAGCATGGTTAGAAACCTGGTTCATTGTATGATGAATAATAAATCACCATCCTTCACTTAAACCACACATAAAAGTAACCTTTTAAAGCTTAAAAATGTAAATATTAGAGGAAAATTATTAAGTGCATAGAATATGTACCCAAACATCTTTATGGTATAAGGCTAGTGTAGATTTCCTAAATAAGACTCCCAAAAGCATAAAATTTAAAACTCATAAAGTTTAAACCGGTGACTACATCACGACTCAGGGAAAGAGCAGTATCTCAACAGAGAAGGAATCAGGAGCGGGAGCACGTGAATCAAAGGTGAATCGAATGAATGGCCAGCTCTTCTGCTAACTTCCTGATTCATCAATTCTTATCTCAGCACAGTATTTTTTCCAGAAACTATTATCAATTCTCTTTCTTGCTATTGCCATTTTCCTTGAGGAATATTCAAACTATTTTCCTAAATACTGTATTCTTAAAATTTCACTTCCAATTTTGGCAGAGCCATCCTGCTGACTAATCTTCCCACCAGGAATGAGAACCACTGGACAAAAGAAGAGATGTCTTCCAGGCGCTATCTCAGACTCACCAAGGGGCCGCATTCTGGACAGAAGAGAAGCAGGTTGAGGCAGGCCTGGCTTTTTGTGGGGTTCTCCCTTTCTGGGCATTTGCTAGTGCAGTGTTATCTAGGGCTGGAGAGTCCAGAGAGCTGACCTTAAAGACATGGGTGACAGCCAAACCATATGCTGAGTTCTGAGCAGACAAACACAGCTGTCCAGAAAAAATTCAGCACTCAAGGTTACTCCCACTGCTATAAAGATACTACCTAAGCCTGGGTAATTTATAAACAAGAGGTTTAATTGACTTAGAGGTCCACATGGCTACGGAGGCCTCAGGAAACTTACAATCATAGTGGAGGTGAAAGGGAAGAAGGACCTTCCTCACAAGGTGGCAGGAGAGAGAGTGAGAAAGAGCGGGGAAGTGCCACACTACAGCCATCAGCTCTTATAAGAACTCACGCACTATCATGAGAACAGCATGGGAGAAAATGCCCCCATGGTCCAATGATCTCCCACCAGGTCCCTCCCTCGACACGTGGGGATTATAAATTGAGATGAGATTTGGGTGGGGACACAGAGCCAAAGCATATCACCAAAATGGCAGGACCAGAGGGGCCTAGATTCTGAAAGGATGGAGCTTTCTCAGGTGGGTCTCGGAGCATGTGCAGCTTTCTCCCTGAATGAAACGTCTGCAGTTTGTAAGTGGCTCAGGCCTGGAAAACAAGAGACCATGGAGAGCTGTGGTTCAGAGGTCGCCAAACAGCCCCTTGGCTGGGGCTAGCCCATTTGGCTGCCTGTAGGCTGGGGACCATAAGCAGGAGTTCGGCTCCGTGAAGGAACAGGTACAGGCCAATGCCTGGGCTTTGAGATCAAACCCCTAATGAATTGTTCCACACAGAAACTGAAACCCCACTTCAGACCAGCAGAAACAAGAGCAGATCTGTGGGACCTGCCTCCTCTCTGATGGCAGCCAGGACACGGAAATGAATGCTTAGCCAAGGCGGTCAGTGTGCTCCGGCCTGGACTCTCCGTGGCCTCACACATCGTATCCGGCCTAGGCCAGAAAGTGCATGCTTCGTCAAGGGGGCCAGCATGATCTGCAGACTCACACATCATATCTGGCTACAGCCAGAAAGGGAATGCTTAGCTAAGGTGGTCAGCGTGCTCTGGCCTGGACTCTCTACAGCATCACACATTGTAACTGGCTGCATTTGTTTGCTAGGGTTGCTGCATAACAAAATATCACACACTGGGTGTCTTAAGCAGCGCAACTGTGTTCTCTTGTGATTTGGGAGGACAGACGTTCGAGATGAAGGTGGGGGCAGAGTTGCATTCTCCTGGGGCTTCTTCCGTTCATGGGTGGACGGCAGCCTTCCTGCTGTGTCCTCACGTGGTCATCCCCTATGTGCGGCTCTGTGTCCTCCTTTCCCCTGGACATAAGAAGTCACAAGACCCCCCATCATCCTGGATCAGCCCACCTGAATGACCTCATTTTCACTTGATTATGTTTTCAAAGGCTCCATCTTCAAATAAGGTCACATTCTCAATTACTGAGGGTCAGGTGTCAACTTATAAATTGGTGGTCACCATTCAATTCATAGCATAGCATTCAGTTAAAGATTACCAAGTAAACCAGTGAGAGGACAAAGCAAACTAAAAATAAAAGGAGAGTAGAGAAGAGAAGTAATGGCAGGGGAGGCCCATCTAGAGCAGCCAGAAGCCGCTGCAGAGGGGAGGCACGGCAGAGGCTGCACATTCCACAGAGCCAGTGGGAGCCAGGACAGGTGGGATCCCTGACCCCTCTGAGTTGATGGGGTGGGAGCAGGCAGGACACCCATGTCATGGCTGCAGACCCAGGCCTCCTGCTCCACAGAGCAGGCAGGATCCACACCCCCATGTGTGCAGCTGCAGCCACCCAAACCACGGCTGTGGACCCAGGCATCTCTGCACTCTTGGGGGCCCAAAAATGCCTCCTCTGACCTCACAGGCTCAGAAGTTCCTGCTCCTGCTGCCTGGCTTCTCCCTGCTGTTGGCACTCACTCCAATCTTGGAGCAAAGTTAGGGCCAAGCCCAGGCACTGTCTCAGCCTGGCTGGGTGTGCACATGCTCCAGGCAGTGCTGATACACCAGCCCCCTGCTGCCTCAGCCCACCTCCAGACTTTGGGCACCAAGGAGCATAGGAGGGAAGCCAAGGGGAGGCTGAAGGCAGCTCAGGGCTGGCCTGCATGCATCCTTGGCACCTACAGTCTGGGCGCCATGAAGCATGGCAGGAGGCAAGCAGGTTCCTGAGCAGAGGGGACAGGTCCCTGGTGAGGCCTCACCTTCAGACCAGGAAGGGCCTGAAGGTTTGGGGTCTTGCAAACCAAAGTGAAAACTTGTGGTGTCTTTTCTGGGCCTGCCCATGGCTGCCCACGGATCATTTGGCATTCACTTCCTCCCCTCTGAGGCCCATAAAAGCTCTGGGCTCAGCCAGAGGTGAGCAGACATCTGGATGACCTGCTGCAGAGAGGAGCTACCCACTCCAGGGCCTCCTCTCTGCTAGGAGCTGGGGAGATGGTGGGATGACCTGCCACAGAGAGGAGCTACCATCTGCTAGGAGCTGGACACTCATCGGGGCACTCTGGCTGTGGAAAGGAGCTATCCCCTTCTCTGAGCTGTTCTATCACTCAATAAAGCTCCCCTTCATCCTGCTCACCCTCCACTTGTCTGCATACTTCATTCTTCCTGGTCACAGGACAAGAATTTGGGACCTACCGAGTGGCATGGCTAAAAAAGCTGTCATAAAAATGGGGCTGAAATACTCCCCTTGCTCACCACATTGCAGGCAAAGAGAGTGAGAGAAGCGCTGTGGCCCTCTGGGGATCCCAGACCTCAGAGCTCCCCAAGCCAAGGCTGTGACTACCTCTTTGAGGCCCTGCAGTTCTTGGTGTCTTCAGGCCTCCAAGTGCCACTGCATTCCCCAGTGCCAGCCATGGAAGCTGCTTGTGGTGTGCCTAGTCAAGCCGCAGCCTTGCAGAGAGCTGGCACCCATGCTGGTACCTGGAGCTGCCTGCCCCACTGCAGCAACCGGTGTGCTGACTGCACACTGGCTGGACTCCACACTCCCTCATGCACCCCTTGCTGCTCCATGCTTGACTTGCCCTTAACAGGCACGGACCCAGGCTGGTTGTGTGAGTGGAGCACAGCGTGCTAGGCCAAGTGGGGAGAACCAGCACAGTGGGCTTGAGCAAAACTCAGGCAAAGGTGCCACCAGCCACAGAGGTTTCTGGACCAAAAAACGACACCCAAAGACCCTGTAAGAAAAGGACAAGAGAAGCTGATCAGGGAGCACCAGCCTCTGTGGTGAAGAGACGCAGATTACAATGAAGGTGTCCTCCAAGAATACCAGCCATGAGGTGGAGGAGCCAATCAGACACAAATTATCTTTTTCAAAAAATGCAACAAATGAAAGTTGTGTAACTGGAAAATAAAATAATTGCAGCTAAGCACCAAACACGTGGGTATTGGAAGTGATTGAGATAGTCAACTGGATGGCACATAAAGCAGAAAATATTAGGTTGGTGCAAAAGTAATTGTGGTTTTGGACCATGAATTTTAAATCATTATAACTAGGTTCAAACACATCTTCATGAATCAAAATAGGAACCATTACAATAAGCACATTTTTTGCCAAGGAGAAATAAGTTTGTTTATTCCCATAGCATAAAAATCCATGCTTCAGGATTTGACGAGCTCTTGGAAAACATTTTCTGCATCCTGTTGGGTGTGGAAGTGTTTTCCCTGCAAAAAGTTGTCAAGATGCTCGAAGAAGTGGTAGTCGGCTGGCAAGAGGTCAGGTGAATATGGCAGATGAGGCAAAATTTGTAGCCCAATTCATTCAACTTTTGAAGTGTTGGTTGTGAGACGTGTGGTCAGGCATTGTGGTGGAGAAGAGTTGGGTCCTTTTTATTGACCAATGCCAGCTGCAGGCATTGCAGTTTCTCGTGCATCTCATTGGTTTTTTGAGCATGCTTCTCAGGTGTAATGGCTGCACTTGGATTCAGAACGGTAGTGGATCAGACGGGCACAGACCACCAGTGACCAGGACCTTTTTTGGTGCAAGTTTGGCTTTGGGAAGTGCTTTGGAGCTTCTTCTCAGTCCAACCACTGAGCTGGTCATCACGGGTTGTTGTATAAAATCCACTTTTTGTCGCACGTCACAGTCTGATTGAGAAACGGTTCGTTGTTGTGTAGAATGAGAAGACACTTCAAAATGACAATTTTTAAAAAAAATTTCACTCAGCTCGCGAGGCACCCACTTATTAAGCTTTCCACCTTTCCAGTTTGCTTCAAATGCCAAACGACCATAGAATGGCCGACGCTGAGTTCTTTGGCAGCTTCTTGTGTGGTTGTAAGAGGATCAGCTTGATAATTGCTCTCAATTGGTCATTGTCAACTTCCGATGGCCTGTCACTACGCTCTTCATCTTCAAGGCCCTCATCATTTTGCAAAACCTCTTGAACCACCACTGCACTCTACGTTCGTTAGCAGCTCCGAGGCCAAATGCATCGTTGATGTTTCAAGTCATCTCAGCTACTTTATGACCCATTTTGAACCTGAATAAGAAAATTGCTTGAATTTGCTTTTTTCCTAACATCATTTCCATAGTCTAAAATAAACGTTAAATAACAGCAAGTAATAAGTTATTAGCAAAAAAACATAAAGTGAGAAATGCTCATTAAAATGATGCATAACGTAACCACATGTATTTTAAAATGTTTTCCAATATCAAATGGCAAATTCCAACAATGCAAACAGCACAATTACTTTTGCACTCACAGGCTGAACACAGAAGAAAAGAGGATGGAAAACATTTTAGGAAATAAAAATAATGGCAGAAAAGAGGGCACCAGCACACAGGCGGAACCAGCACACAGGTGGAACCAGCACACAGGCGGAACCAGGCGCTGCTCCAAGAAGACACAGTGTCGAGAGACCATTCATCCCTGAAAACAGGAGGACACCAGCACACAGGCGGAACCAGCACACAGGAGGAACCAGCACACAGGTGGAACCAGCACACAGGCGGAACCAGGCGCTGCTCCAAGAAGACACAGTGTCGAGAGCCAACACCAGCACACAGGTGGAACCGGCACACAGGCGGAACCAGCACACAGGCGGAACCAGCACACAGGTGGAACCAGGTGCTACTCTAAGAAGACACAGTGTCGAGAGACCATTCGTCCCTGAAAACAGGTTTGAACTTTCTTCTGAGTTCTTTGTAATTTGACTTTATTATTGCCAACCTAAATAAGAGACAGAAAGACCCTCTGAAGAAAAGAATATTTGGGAATTGAGCATTGCAATGGGAGTCAGTGAATACATTCAGGGAGGTCAAGGAAGACAAGAATTTTTAAAGAAAACGTAAGTTGTTTGGAGACAATTATCCTTGCCTACAAGGGCCCATAGCAAGGGTGGTGCCAGTGTGGGGTGGGACAGGCAGGTGCTGGGCAGATGTCCTCACAGAGGTGCTTTCTGACTGAGGTCTCCGGGGCTTTTGTACGTGGATGTCGTGTCTGTAGGGTCTTTAGCTCTTGTTGTCAAGGCATTCGTGCAGCAGAGCCCTTGCGAGGTCCTTGGGGCTTTTGTGCATGGATGTGGTGTTTGCAGAGTCTTTGGTGATAGTTCTTGCTGTCAGGCATTCGTGCAGCAGAGCCCTCCTTCCAAGGCCTTCCCCAGCTCAGCTCATCCAGGTTTTAACAAAAGCGACTCCACTTTCATTCTGACAACTTTCACCATATTTGAAAAAAAGTGTAGAAAATAGGTAACATTTGTCGGGCTGTTTCACTGCTAGTCAAGGCTTCCAGTTTAAGGACTGACCCACTCCACACACTGGAGAAGCTGTAGAAATGGCCCTCGCCTGGGAGTCACAGGGAGGATCCCAGCTGTTGTTGTCTTTAACTGATTGCTTAATTTTTCTTATTTTTAATTTTTTGTCCCATGAATGGAAGAGCTAGACAATCTTACCGTTTTTAAATTCTTTGATATTATAAAGTGTTCCAAATCTATTTAGAGCACACATTGTATATTTTATCCTCTCTGACCTCAAAGTACAAAATAGTATGCTCATTTGCATAATGTATATGTTTAAATTAACAGATGTTTCCATTATATACATTATTTTTTTCTAAATCGGTATTTTTCCATCTTAGCAGCAACCTTTTAACTCCAGTAACAAAAGTTTAAGATTAAGTTCTGAGAATTTGATACAAGAGAAAAGATGTAGGCTATTAAATTTATAATTCATCACATACATTGTCAAATTTAAAAGTGAGTAACTGGCATTTTTGCAGTATAGTGTAATTCAAGATAGGATAATTACAAAATTTGGTATTTTATAACTAAACAGTAGGAGAGTTAATGTTCTCCATTTATATATGGAAATGTTAGCATGACTTACATATTTTTAATTATCTAATGATGGATCTTTAGAGTATGCTGCATCTCTAGAGAAATTCATTTTTATATACTCTTCTATTATAAACACCTTGACAAAGGCCACTTAACACATTTCAAGAAACATAAATGTATTTTTAATGGAAATAACCCTCTTAGTGACCTTTCCAGTAGAGTCTACTTTTAAGAATAATTATTCGCTTACCAGCGAGAGGATTTAAACTTTAAAAGCAGAAACACTCGACGATTTGGCATTTGCAAAGCCCGTAAGAGAATGCAGACATTCTGGTGAATCAACTCTCTGGCTGATCACACTCGTCAAGCTTCCAGTTGCAAATGAGCAGGTGAGGAAGTGTAAGGTGGGCGTGTGGCCCTCCAGAGCCATGGAGAAGATGCTGTCTCGAGGGAAGAGCCGGTGCAGAGACTCGGTGCTCCAGGCAGGCCCGGTGACTTGGAAGCTGAGTGGGGCTGGGCTCCGAGGCGTATGGCAGATGCTGAGGCCAGGCCTTTGGCACGTACTGAACTGAGTGAGGTCTGCGGCCAGAAAGGGAGGAAACAAACCACAGGGAAGGAAAGGCCTGGCCACCTGTTCCTGTCCCAGTGCCCACGTGTGGAGTTGTCAAATGATGCCCCATAGGTTATTTTGCCTTTGTGGGAGACGAACCATCTGTAAAACCTTGTTTTTGGCTTATTGCTCAAAACAGTTGGTGCTTTAGACAAAATGGATCAGCTCCCAGTGGGAACTGGCTGTCTTGTAGAATTCACAGACGCTTTGCTATCCCGGAGCCTGGAAATCTGAAGTGGTCGTTCTATGATTTTTCACAGCAGGAGGCATTTTATTTGGGTTGATTCCATGTCGTTCAAGAACATCCTGCGCTCTGGTTTTCGCAGCTAGAAGAAAAGGAAACACAGCAAGCAAATAGCTCTTTTCCACAGCTGCTGAAAAGGAATAGACACAACATCAGGCGTGGGATTCTCCCTGGAAGCCCCCCGGATGGTCTGCAGTGCTGATGGCCACATGCTATTAAACAAAATTTACTTTACTTTGATCGAGTGCCTGATTCATAGCTCTGCAGCTCCTACGCAAGCTGCACAGTGAGGCTCCTAATGTATTGAGATACTGACAGCGGGAGGAAGAACGGTGTGGAAAAAACACACCTGACGCTTGCCACCAACTGGCCTAGAGAACACAGGACCGGGTATCAGGTCACCCGGCACACACGCAGACTCCACATACAAGGGACACACTCAGTGTGGACCAGGGAAGACGGGGACGGAGGCAGGGGCTCACCAACTGTCACTAAAGGCACCCACAGGGCCACCAGGACCTCCATGGCCCAGGCACGTGGAGTCAGGAGCTGCAGCGGGTGGACCTGGAACTTAATTTTACAAGGAATGGCCCACAGAGCCTGCCCTGGGGGCCCTGGGGGGAGCTGGCACGGGCGGGAATGATGGGCCAGAGTCACCAGCTCGTTCCTAACCTGGAACAGCCTGCCCCGCAGGGCCCCAGGGCTCTGTCTGGAGGAGTCTGGCCCAACAGTGAAAGCCCTTGGTAAAAGAAAAACTTCAGGCAAATTAAGTTGAACAGAGTTTAACCGAGCAATGATCGGGCAGCCTTCCCAGCCGGAGGAGGCTCAGAGACTCCAGCGCAGCCGCGTCGGGGAGGAAGATTTATGGACAGGGAAGGGAAAGTAACAGACAGAAACGGACGTGAGGGACAGAGACAGCTGGACTGATTACAGCCCGCATTTGCCTTATTTTAACAGGGTTCAAACAACCGGCTACGTCTGAGTGGCCAAATCTCGGTGATTGGCGCAAGTATAGGCTACAGTCTGTGTACAACTCCGCTTAGGTTATAGCTCACCACGTACAGAGAAACCTCTAGGCCGAACTTAAAATATGTAAGGAGGCAGCTTTAGGCCACACTTGATTTGACACCCAGGAGTGGGGGCCCTCCACTCCCTCAGGCCCCTGGGAACAGGCCTTGGGCACCCTCCCTGCTCCCGCACAAGGCCTGACTCCAGGCAGTCCTGAGGCCGCATCCTGCACTGCGCTGCGGGATCCTGGCTGCTCTCTTCCCGCCTGGAAGACTTTGCACAGCCACGCATCCCTACCACTACCCAGGGATCCCGGGAAGCGAGCAGCCCAGCAGCTGTGGGAAACACCAGCCCCTACAACCTTCCTTGAAAGCTCTGCCGGGGCCGGCTGCTGTAGTGGGGACTTCAGTCTGGTGAGTCAATATTACGTTGCGTGGAACGTGAACATGGACGCCACTCCGTCCGGGATTCAGCGCAGCGGCACTCTCTCTGCTCCACTATTAGGAAAGACGTGCCTGGAATAAGGAAAATCATTCCTTTTTTTTTTTTTAAGGAATCAAGGGTCATGGGCTCCCCTTGGAAGTAGCTTGAGGCTCCATACGGCTGACAGTGCCAGCTGCACCCCCAGGAAGGTGTGCTTGCCTTTGAGTTGGGTGGGGTACATCTAGAGTGGGGCTCTGGAACCCGGCTGCTGGGGTGACAGCCCCACACAGCCCCTGAGGCTGTGAACCTGGGTGAGTGAGCCAGGCCCCCTGCAGCTGCCTGCACCCATCCGGCTGTTTCTGGCTCCTTCTCACCTGATGAGTTGGTGTTGAGCCCAGACCAGTTATGACCTAGAGGGAGGGGGAGGCCTTGACTGTTCCTACAGAGCCCAGTATGAAGTAATTCTCAAAATCCGACTGTTTTAATGTTTGAATGTATTTGAGTGTGTTTAATTGGTTCAAAATTTAAAATAAAAAATAAGTAAGTAAAATCCCACCTTGTCTACTTGTTCACCCAGCAACAGAACTCCCTGTCTGAAGTTAATTGCTTTTTCTGTGTCTTCTGGATGATCCCAGAAACAGTCCATCCATGTGCAACAAATAACAGCAAATAGCATCCATGTATATGTGTGTGTGTGTGTGTGTGTGTGTGTGTGTGTAGTCCCCTGTTTATAGACAGGGAGGTGCCCCTGCACACACACAGTGCACAGTGCATACTACATGTATATATGTGTGTTTATATATATATTCCCCTGTTCATAGACAGGAAGGTGCCCCTGCACACACACAGTGCACAGTGCATGCTACATGTATACATATATGTGTGTATATATATAGTCCCGTTTATAGACAGGAAGATGTCCCACGCACACAGTGCACAGTGCATGCTACATGTTCTGCATTACACCTGTTGTATGTTACACACTGTATGATACAGCATATTGTTGAAACTGGAGAATTCTCTGAATTCCCCTCGCAGGACATACTACAGGAGTGTGGCTCACCTGTTTGGCCACCTTGCAGCTCAAACCCCTAGCAGGAGCATGCAGAGGGGCAGGGGCAGAAGCTGGGGCAAGGACTTTGGGCTCTTGGCCCTGCAGTAGTTTCTAGAGGTGAGTGCGTGCAACCCCCGTGTCACAGAGCTCTCTCAGCTTGGCTGCCTGTACATGGCTTGAGTGTTAACCAGCTCAGCAGACCTTCTGCCTTATCACAAGGGCAGAGAGCCAATGGGACAGCCTTCTGTATCCCGAGCTCTTGTCTAGCGTCCTGGAAGAATCGAATCACAAGCAGGATCGAAGGATGAGTGCAGGGTTCTGTTGAGTGGTGAAGGTGGCTCTCAGCAGATGGACGGGGAGCTGGAAGGTGGAGGAGCGGGGGAGATCATCTTCTCCTGGAGTTTGGCTGTTGTCAGTGAACTCCTCTTGGTGTTCAGGTGCCTCTTCCCTCCTTCTCTGCCGGGCCACAGTGTTGCTCTCTGCCTCTCTCCACCGCTCTCTGCTGCTCTCTGCCACTTCTCTTGACATTCAGCAGTTTGTGTGTCTGCCTGCTAAGGTCTCGGGTTTATATGGGCACAGGATGGGGGGTGTGGCAGGCCAGAGTGGTCTTGGAAATGCAACATTCAGGTGGGAAAACAGAAGTGCCTGCTCTCACTTAGGTCCATGGACACAGGCCCGAGGGTGGAGCCCTCACTGGGAGCCTGCCCTTCTCTACCCAGCCCTTTCCTGCCCCTCCTGTATCATCGTGACCTACATTGTGCACTGTCTATTATATGTTGCTTATAACGTATTATTTATATTCTGCTAATGTTTTCCAACTTTAATTCTTATACACACAAAAACACATGATGCACACAATCTAAAATCAGGTTTTATCACTTAACCATATATCTTGAAGATTATGCCTTACTAGTATAGAGCTTATCATTCTTTTGAAAAGAAATGTTATTTTCCATTGAGTAGGTACGGCCTTGTTTATTTAAGCAATGCCTTATTGAATTACTTATAAGGTATTTAATTATTTTTTAATACATCAATCTATATACTTTATACATATGTGATAACATATATCTAATAAAATTTAAGATATCAAATTATCAGGTCAAAAGAGTAGGAGCGTTTTATCTTTAGTGTCTAATTTTCAAATGCTTTTTATAAATGCTAAGCTGGTTTGCAATTCTACCAGCAATGTGGAAGAGAGCACACATCTTTCCACATTCTTAATGATCCAATTATTCCTAATCCTAGAGGCAGAAATCAAAAATCATAATTCATGATTTCAATAGTTTTCTTATTTTTAATTAAATTAAGCATCCTTTAGAGCATTTGTACTCTGTTTATTGTCTCATCTTTTGGCCATTTTTTCAGTCGGATTATTGGTATTTTTATTACTGAATTGTAGAATCCATTTAATCATTTAAAAAATGTGCTTTATGATAGCAACGAATTTCATGATTTGTCCATTTCCTTGGAACCATGACACTTTTAAAATATTGATCAAATTATAAATTTTAATTGTTCTACTTATAGTAATACTTGGAAACATTTCTCATTCTGAAACCATAAGAAAATATCTTCATGTTTTTTGGTGCTTATATAGTTTTAGATTTTACATTTAAATATTTGATTCGAAAACAGTTTATTATGGCATAAACTGTGAGTAAATGATTTAACTAATCTTTTGTTAAAACCACAACCATATTCTTTGCTGCAGATGACAGGGCTTGTTAATACCATGCTTTTTCTCTAAGTTCGAAATCCAACTCTGAAGTATTCCGGGCCAGGGTTTATTTTTCTTGTCCCCGCCATGCTAACATTTGTGTTATTCAACTGCATAAAGCACTGATAATTAAAGAGAAACCTTTTGAAAACTAAAGGAATTTATTTTGCTATTTACTAATTTTTATAAGTTATTTAGTTGAATAGGATTGTTTCTAAGTTTTAGGTAAAAATTAAAAAATAAATAAATAAAATAAAATAGGGGGGAGGAGCCAAGATGGCCGAATAGGAACAGCTCCAGTCTGCAGCTCCCAGCGTGAGCCACGCAGAAGACGGGTGATTTCTGCATTTCCATCTGAGGTACCGGGTTCATCTCACTAGGGAGTGCCAGACAGTGGGCGCAGGTCAGTGGGTGCGCGCACCGTGCGCGAGCCAAAGCAGGGCGAGGCATTGCCTCACTCGGGAAGCGCAAGGGGTCAGGGAGTTCCCTTTCCTAGTCAAAGAAAGAGGTGACAGACTGCACCTGGAAAATCGGGTCACTCCCACCCGAATATTGCGCTTTTCCGACGGGCTTAAAAAAAGGCGCACAACGAGATTATATCCCGCACCTGGCTCGGAGGGTCCTACGCCCACGGAGTCTCACTGATTGCTAGCACAGCAGTCTGAGATCAAACTGCAAGGCGGCAGCGAGGCTGGGGGAGGGGCGCCCGCCATTGCCCAGGCTTGCTTAGGTAAACAAAGCAGCCCGGAAGCTCAAACTGGGTGGAGCCCACCACAGCTCAAGGAGGCCTGCCTGCCTCTGTAGGCTCCACCTCTGGGGGCAGGGCACAGACAAACAAAAAGACAGCAGTAACCTCTGCAGACTTAAATGTCCCTGTCTGACAGCTTTGAAGAGAGCAGTGGTTCTCCCAGTACGCAGCTGGAGATCTGAGAACGGGCAGACTGCCTCCTCAAGTGGGTCCCTGACCCCTGACCCCCGAGCAGCCTAACTAGGAGGCACCCGCCAGCAGGAGCACACTGACACCTCACACGGCAGGGTATTCCAACAGACCTGCAGCTGAGGGTCCTGTCTGTTAGAAGGAAAACTAACAAACAGAAAGGACATCCACACCAAAAACCCGTCTGTACATCACCATCATCAAAGACCAAAAGTAGATAAAACCACAAAGATGGGGAAAAAACAGAACAGAAAAACTGGAAACTCTAAAAAGCAGAGCGCCTCTCCTCCTCCAAAGGAACGCAGTTCCTCACCAGCAATGGAACAAAGCTGGACGGAGAATGACTTTGACGAGCTGAGAGAAGAAGGCTTCAGACGATCAAATTACTCTGAGCTACGGGAGGACATTCAAACCAAAGGCAAAGAAGTTGAAAACTTTGAAAAAAATTTAGAAGAATGTATAACTAGAATAACCAATACAGAGAAGTGCTTAAAGGAGCTGATGGAGCTGAAAACCAAGGCTCGAGAACTACGTGAAGAATGCAGAAGCCTCAGGAGCCGATGCGATCAACTGGAAGAAAGGGTATCAGCAATGGAAGATGAAATGAATGAAATGAAGCGAAAAGGGAAGTTTAGAGAAAAAAGAATAAAAAGAAACGAGCAAAGCCTCCAAGAAATATGGGACTATGTGAAAAGACCAAATCTACGTCTGATTGGTGTACCTGAAAGTGACGGGGAGAATGGAACCAAGTTGGAAAACACTCTTCAGGATATTATCCAGGAGAACTTCCCCAATCTAGCAAGGCAGGCCAACATTCAGATTCAGGAAATACAGAGAACGCCACAAAGATTCTCCTCGAGAAGAGCAACTCCAAGACACATAATTGTCAGATTCACCAAAGTTGAAATGAAGGAAAAAATGTTAAGGGCAGCCAGAGAGAAAGGTCGGGTTACCCTCAAAGGGAAGCCCATCAGACTAACAGCGGACCTCTCAGCAGAAACCCTACAAGCCAGAAGAGAGTGGGGGCCAATATTCAACATTCTTAAAGAAAAGAATTTTCAACCCAGAATTTCATATCCAGCCAAACTAAGCTTCATAAGTGAAGGAGAAATAAAATACTTTACAGACAAGCAAATGCTGAGAGATTTTGTCACCACCAGGCCTGCCCTAAAAGAGCTCCTGAAGGAAGCGCTAAACATGGAAAGGAACAACCGGTACCAGCCGCCGCAAAATCATGCCAAAATGTAAAGACCATTGAGACTAGGAAGAAACTGCATCAACTAACGAGCAAAATAACCAGCTAACATCATCATGACAGGATCAAATTCACACATAACAATATTAACTTTAAATGTAAATGGACTAAATGCTCCAATTAAAAGACACAGACTGGCAAATTGGATAAAGAGTGAAGACCCATCAGTGTGCTATATTCAGGAAACCCATCTCACATGCAGAGACACACATAGGCTCAAAATAAAAGGATGGAGGAAGATCTACCAAGCAAATGGAAAACAAAAAAAGGCAGTGGTTGCAATCCTAGTCTCTGATAAAACAGACTTTAAACCAACAAAGATCAAAAGAGACAAAGAAGGCCATTACATAATGGTAAAGGGATCAATTCAACAAGAAGAGCTAACTATCCTAAATATATATGCACCCAATACAGGAGCACCCAGATTCATAAAGCAAGTCCTGAGTGACCTACAAAGAGACTTAGACTCCCACACATTAATAATGGGAGACTTTAACACCCCATTGTCAACATTAGACAGATCAATGAGACAGAAAGTCAACAAGGATACCCAGGAATTGAACTCAGCTCTGCACCAAGCGGACCTAATAGACATCTACAGAACTCTCCACCCCAAATCAACAGAATATACATTTTTTTCAGCACCACACCACACCTATTCCAAAATTGACCACATACTTGGAAGTAAAGCTCTCCTCAGCAAATGTAAAAGAACACAAATTATAACAAACTATCTCTCAGACCACAGTGCAATCAAACTAGAACTCAGGATTAAGAATCTCACTCAAAACCGCTCAACTACATGGAAACTGAACAACCTGCTCCTGAATGACTACTGGGTACATAACGAAATGAAGGCAGAAATAAAGATGTTCTTTGAAACCAACGAGAACAAAGACACAACATACCAGAATCTCTGGGACGCAATCAAAGCAGTGTGTAGAGGGAAATTTATAGCACTAAATGCCCACAAGAGAAAGCAGGGAAGATCCAAAATTGACACCCTAACATCACAATTAAAAGAACTAGAAAAGCAAGAGCAAACACATTCAAAAGCTAGCAGAAGGCAAGAAATAACTAAAATCAGAGCAGAACTGAAGGAAATAGAGACACAAAAAACCCTTCAAAAAATTAATGAATCCAGGAGCTGGTTTTTTGAAAGGGTCAACAAAATAGACCGCTAGCAAGACTAATAAAGAAGAAAAGAGAGAAGAATCAAATAGACGCAATAAAAAATGATAAAGGGGATATCACCACCGATCCCACAGAAATACAAACTACCATCAGAGAATACTACAAACACCTCTACACAAATAAACTAGAAAATCTAAAAGAAATGGATAAATTCCTCGACACATACACTCTCCCAAGACTAAACCAGGAAGAAGTTGAATCTCTGAATAGACCAATAACAGGAGCTGAAATTGTGGCAATAATCAATAGCTTACCAACCAAAAAGAGTCCAGGACCAGATGGATTCACAGCCGAATTCTACCAGAGGTACAAGGAGGAGCTGGTACCATTCCTTCTGAAACTATTCCAATCAATAGAAAAAGAGGGAATCCTCCCTAACTCATTTTATGAGGCCAGCATCATCCTGATACCAAAGCCGGGCAGAGACACAACCAAAAAAGAGAATTTTAGACCAATATCCTTGATGAACATTGATGCAAAAATCCTCAATAAAATACTGGCAAACCGAATCCAGCAGCACATCAAAAAGCTTATCCACCATGATCAAGTGGGCTTCATCCCTGGGATGCAAGGCTGGTTCAATATATGCAAATCAATAAATGTAATCCAGCATATAAACAGAGCCAAAGACAAAAACCACATGATTATCTCAATAGATGCAGAAAAGGCCTTTGACAAAATTCAACAACGCTTCATGCTAAAAACTCTCAATAAATTAGGTATTGATGGGACATATTTCAAAATAATAAGAGCTATCTATGACAAACCCACAGCCAACATCATACTGAATGGGCAAAAACTGGAAGCATTCCCTTTGAAAACTGGCACAAGACAGGGATGCCCGCTCTCACCGCTCCTATTCAACATAGTGTTGGAAGTTCTGGCCAGGGCAATTAGGCAGGAGAAGGAAATAAAGGGTATTCAATTAGGAAAAGAGGAAGTCAAATTGTCCCTGTTTGCAGACCACATGATTGTATATCTAGAAAACCCCATTGTCTCAGCCCAAAATCTCCTTAAGCTGATAAGCAACTTCAGCAAAGTCTCAGGATACAAAATCAATGTACAAAAATCACAAGCATTCTTATACGCCAACGACAGACAAATAGAGAGCCAAATCATGAGTGAACTCCCATTCACAATTGCTTCAAAGAGAATAAAATACCTAGGAATCCAACTTACAAGGGACGTGAAGGACCTCTTCAAGGAGAACTACAAACCACTGCTCAAGGAAATAAAAGAGGATACAAACAAATGGAAGAACATTCCATGCTCATGGGTAGGAAGAATCAATATCGTGAAAATGGCCATACTGCCCAAGGTAATTTACAGATTCAATGCCATCCCCATCAAGCTACCAATGCCTTACTTCACAGAATTGGAAAAAACTACTTTAAAGTTCACATGGAACCAAAAAAGAGCCCGCATTGCCAAGTCAATCCTAAGCCAAAAGAACAAAGCTGGAGGCATCACACTACCTGACTTCAAACTATACTACAAGGCTACAGTAACCAAAACAGCATGGTACTGGTACCAAAACAGAGATATAGATCAATGGAACAGAACAGAGCCTCAGAAATAATGCCGCATATCTACAACTATCTGATCTTTGACAAACCTGACAAAAACAAGCAATGGGGAAAGGATTCCCTATTTAATAAATGGTGCTGGGAAAACTGGCTAGCCATATGTGGAAAGCTGAAACTGGATCCCTTCCTTACACCTTATACAAAAATCAATTCAAGATGGATTAAAGACTTAAACGTTAGACCTAAAACCATAAAAACCCTAGAAGAAAACCTAGGCATTACCATTCAGGACATAGGCACGGGCAAGGACTTCATGTCTAAAACACCAAAAGCAATGGCAACAAAAGCCAAAATTGACAAATGGGATCTAATTAAACAAAAGAGCTTCTGTACAGCAAAAGAAACTACCATCAGAATGAACAGGCAACCTACAAAATGGGAGAAAATTTTTGCAACCTACTCATCTGACAAAGGGCTAATATCCAGAATCTACAATGAACTTAAACAAATTTACAAGAAAAAAACAAACAACCCCATCAAAAAGTGGGCAAAGGACATGAACAGACACTTCTCAAAAGAAGACATTTATGCAGCCAAAAAACACATGAAAAAATGCTCATCACTGGCCATCAGAGAAATGCAAATCAAAACCACAATGAGATACCATCTCACACCAGTTAGAATGGCAATCATTAAAAAGTCAGGAAACAACAGGTGCTGGAGAGGATGTGGAGAAATAGGAACACTTTTACACTGTTGGTGGGACTGTAAACTAGTTCAACCATTGTGGAAGTCAGTGTGGCGATTCCTCAGGGATCTAGAACTAGAAATACCATTTGACCCAGCCATCCCATTACTGGGTATATACCCAAAGGACTATAAATCATGCTGCTATAAAGACACATGCACACGTATGTTTATTGAGGCACTATTCACAATAGCAAAGTCTTGGAACCAACCCAAATGTCCAACAATGATAGACTGGATTAAGAAAATGTGGCACATATGCACCATGGAATACTATGCAGCCATAAAAAATGATGAGTTCATGTCCTTTGTAGGGACATAGATGAAATTGGAAATCATCATTCTCAGTAAACTATCGCAAGAACAAAAAACCAAACACCGCATATTCTCACTTATAGGTGGGAATTGAACAATGAGATCACATGGACACAGGAAGGGGAACATCACACTCTGGGGACTGTTGTGGGGTGGGGGGAGGGGGGAGTGATAGCTTTGGGAGATATACCTAATGCTAGATGACGAGTTAGTGGGTGCAGCGCACCAGCATGGCACATGTATACATATGTAACTAACCTGCACAATGTGCACATGTACCCTAAAACTTAAAGTATAATAATAAAAGAAAAAAAATAAATAAAATAAAATAAAATAAAGTGAAAATGCTTTGGTCCCTAACCCTCATTTTCCATGGAAAGGATCACTGCTCCTTGGAAAAATGGCTGGTTCTATTTCTGGTGAAGACAGGCACAAAGTGAGCCACAGCATCATGTTACGCCAGGAGAAAACAACAAAACAAAACAAAACAAAAAACCCCTCGGAGACAACTCTTGCTTCAAAGCCACAGGATGTGTGTGAGAATAGTCACAGCAGCAGACGAGGAAACTAGGAAGTCCCACGAGGAGTAAAATGAACAACAGTGTTATCCATTCTCACAAGGGATGATGGAGAGCCACAGGGATGGCCCGTGAGATGCTCCACACATCAGTGCAGGTTAATTTTACACACATGATGTTGAGCAGGGAAGCCAGACTTAAGACTGAACACTGTATGGTCCCATTTGCATAAACAACAAAACAGACAGAACTAACCTGTGTGTTCCACAGCTGGGAACTGGCTGTGCTGGTGGATGGATGGCAGGAGCAGCAGGAAGGATATTCTCGCTGTGGGCCCCACTCCTGGCCCACAAATGTGCTCAGTTTGCAAAAATCCATGGAGCTGGAAACTTGCGATGCCTTCCCCTTTCTGTGTGATGTTTTCTGTCATCAAAACTTTCTCGAGAACACGCAGGATAGAACATGAACAGCTTCCCCTGGAAAAGAATGGGACTGTTTTAACATCAAGAATAATGATAACCTTGAGGGACTCTAAACACATCTATAGTTTAAATCCCATGAATTATTAATCATTCTCAACAACACCTAAAATCAAAGGAATCCGTGATCACTTTTGGGAAATAACAGAGGAAAAAACCTCATAATTTTGAAAATGGAGAGAAGGGAAAAGCATTGATCCTGCCTTTCGTATAAAAACTGTACCTCAGGGCGAGGAAAGAGTCAACAAGGGGAAGTTTCTCTTCATAGAAATATTTCAGCTAATAAATAAGAAAAGATGGTAACATTAAAATATTACAAATTTGCTACCCATGATGCATTAATATACCTATGTGGTGATTATCAAGGCTGCTTACATTAAAACATGAGACACACTAGATACTGTATTGTTCCACAGTGGGGAGGTCCAGGTGCAACTGCCCTCAAAGTCCAAGGAAGCTGAGAGGCCAGAGAAAGAGGCCAGAAAACCTGGTTTTTCAGAAAGAAACATTTAGTAGGAACTTAGGGACAGAAGCTGTGTCTGCAGCCAGACAAGATGGTGGATCCCCACCCATAACCTCCAGGCCCAGGGCCTCTGAGCCATGGTGAAGGGGTGGTTCAGAAGGCATGGGTGGGACAACTGAAGTACAGCAACATCAAGGTTGTCTGGACCCAAGGGCACGATTTATGGTAGATACTTACTCACACACAAGGAAAAGAGTGTTACCAGCCACGGGTTCTTACGCTCCCATGCAACAGAGAGGTCACGGGGCCATGCATGTTCCCCAGAGGAGGCTTTGTCAGGAGTCTGTGCTTGAATACGAGGGGACAGCACTGGAGAGAGAGGTCTCGGGCTGGCTCCCCGAGGGCAGGTCTTTTCGGTGTGTTAGGAAGGATGTCAGAGATAAGCATGAAGCATGCGAACATCATTACATGTGTGGGACAGAGCTCGGGGTGCATGGGCACAGTGAAAAATCAGGCTGATACATACATCGTGCATAATAAATAACACCTATGCCCCTCCTGGGTGGGGATTTTACCATTCTAATGAGGCAAGAGGTAAAGCTCAGCCGTTCTTCTGGTCTTGTGCACATGCCAGTGATAGAGGTGACTCCCGTGAGTAAGGTTTCCAGTGGAACCCTTGTTAGCTTGGTTTCTCCAGGGTCTATGGAGACAGTGGGGGTGGTGGGGCGAGCTCAGGTGCTTAGCTGATGTGCATGGGAAGACACATCAGTGGGAATGGGCCAAGTTCCTATGGGGGCCAAGTCCTGTCCTTATGCTGTCTCAAGATAAACTGGAAATCTTAGAGGACTTCCTGGAACTGGAGTTAATCGAAAGTCAACATGGCAGGTTGTTATCCAAGGTGGAGCTGCTTCAGCCTCCACGTCTGCCCTTCTTGACAGTTGTACACAAGATCACGATAAATACTCTTGCCAAAAACATCAACCATGAATACGGTTAAGCATCTTGATCTATCCATTTACTGGAAGTATGGGGAACAGAAAAAAAAAGTACTTAAAAAAATGAGAACTATGATCGCTAAACTAGCTAATAGGACATCCATATAACAAAAAATCCAGTTTCTTCAACAACAGCAAAAAAAAAAAAAAAAATGTAAGGGGAAAAAAAAGAAATGAAGGAGGAATACCTAGAGCAGTAGAGTCTTCAGGGATATTTTAATTAATAATAATTCATGTAACGTGTTTGAATTGTTTCAACTGCACAAACTATTTATTTTTTTGAGACAGAGTCTCGCTTTTTCACCCAGGCTGGAGTGCAGTGGCATGATCTCAGCTCACTGCAACCTCCGCCTCCCAGGTTCAAGCAATTCTCCTGCCTCAGCCTCCCAAGTAGCTGGGACTACAGGCGCGAACCATCATGCCCAGCTAATTTTTGTATTTTTAGTAGAGACGGGGTTTCACCATGTTGGCCAGGATAGTCTCGATTTCTTGACCTTGTGATCTGCCCACCTCGACCTCCCAAAGTGCTGGGATTACAGGCATGAGCCATCACGCCTGGCCTTAAAATGTATTTTAAATTCATTAGAATGATTATAGAAATGTGAGGAGTGCTTGAATATTTGATGATATTAAGAGATTACTGTGGATTAATTTCAAGTTTGATAATAAATTGTCACTATGTTTAAAGGTGTTGGTGTGTCTTTTGAATATACATGTAGAAATATTTAGAAATATGTGCAGAAATATACATTGGAATTACTAGCACAATGGAATAAGGAAACATACAAGGATATTCACTGGCACATAATTTGATCAGGTGAAAAGGTAGAAAAAATATAAGTATCCAGATAGTACAAAATGGACAAAAGAATTGGTACAGCGATAGAAAGAAGGCTAGACCTAGGCCAAGGTATTGAATGAGGTCATCTTGGGCAAGGGGAGAGGGTGAGAAGCAGAGGAAATGAGATGGGCTCTGAGCTGATCAATGCTCAAGGCAGGTCATGGGTAAATTAGAGTTAATTATGCCATAATCTCCCCTAGGTATGTATTTGAAATTTTCCACAATAAGGAGTTATATAAAAATATAAGAATAAAATAATTTTATTCAAAGAAAGATTAGGAGCTCCAATCTCTCATTTGAAACAATTGAAAAAATCTAAAAGACCATTTCAACCAGAAGAGAATTTGACCCTAAGAAAAGGGTCAGTGTCTGCAAGCAATGTGAGGACATAAGTCAGCAACAAAACAAGACGTTGCTGAATTGAAGTATTTTTTTTATAAAAAAGTGTGAAAATTTTGTTTTTTAAAGGCAAAACAAAACAGTAATCATAGTTCAACATTATTTATGAACACAGATACAAAAAGCTTAAATAAAATAAATAAGTCATACGTAGCTGTTTACAAAGAAACATAAATCCATCTTGAGTAATTAACACTTATCTCAGGAATACAAAGATTATTCAAGAGCTAAACAACCTATCATTTACCTTCTTCATTACCTTAACAAATTGAAAGGGTAAAAAATAAAAGCCATTTCAACAGAAGAAAAAAAATTGATACAATTCAACCAATCAGTTACAATACAAATATTTATAAAATAATAATAAAAGAGATTTCTTAAATTTGATTTTTTAAAAAAGTATCTACCACAACCTTATATCAATCCTTTAATAGTGAAAAATTACCTTCATTTCCACTTAAGGCAAGACTAAAAATGTCTTTTTTATAAATTTTCATAAATTTCAAAATTTTACTGCAGGTGTTAGCAAGTGAAATGAAGCAAGTCAATGGGAATATGGGGGAAATATTCATTATTTGTGAACACAGTGGTTCTCTAAATAGAAAATACAAGTTAAAAATACACTATAGAAATTGCATATCTAGCCAGATTTTAGTTTGGGAAGTTATTTGCAATGTGTAATACAGCATTAGTATCAGGATTACATAAAGGCCATCTACTCATCAAATACATGGAGACAAATGAGAAAAAAAGGAAACAGACAAAGAATGGATAATTCACCCAGGAGAAAATAACCAAATAGATAATAAGTTTATGAAAAAAATCAGCATCACTGTTAATTAAGAGTACAGACATCAAAGATGTAATTTCTTAGTTATTTGCTTTAAAAAAATAACAGATATGGGCAAGTAAGTTATCATGGATGTAGAGAAAATGAACTCTTATAAACAAGATGTTGGAGTAGATATTTATACAACCAGGCTGAAGAGCCATTTTACAGTGTCCATTAAAATTTCAGTGTGCATCTGCTATAACATAGCAATTCCAGCTTTAAAATATATCTTAGAGTATCACTAATATATTTATATAAGGAAATATATTCAGATGTTCACGTTAGGGTGGAAAAGTAGAAAAAAATCTACATATCCAAATAGTAAGAAATGGACAAACTGCTTTCTGAGAAGCACGATGAGCCATTGGGGCAGATCTGACCATTATGTGCAAAAATCTGTGCTTCAAAATGATTAGAAAATTGATAAGCCCTTAGGCAAATCGATTAACAAACCCAAATTTCCAAAAATAAGTCATTATGTAAGAGGAGGCACCAGTAGAGATCCTAGAGACATTAAAATTATAAGGAATGTGATAAATAGCAACATAGATGAAATCATCAAATTCATTGAAAATATAATTTACAAAGGTGATGAACAAAAAATACAAAATCAGTATAGCCTGAAATTTGAATTTGTTAATTAAAACCTTCCTACAAAGAAAACTCCATCCAGATGGCTGTGAGTTCTGATTTCTAAGACTCCTTCAGTACATAGAGCTGGGAAAGCCTGCTGCAGGTTGTTTATCTGAGGACAGGGATCCACACCCCTGTGGAGTGCACCTGTGCCTAGTGATAAAACTGTCACATGATGAGGACCTGTGGCCCCGTGCAGCATGGGTCTTGTTAGACACAAGCTCATGATGACAGGACATGTGGGAAGATATTTGACAGTCAGTAAAACTCTGCAAATCCTGTGTTGAGATGTTCAGGGAACAGTTTATAGTTTATGACTGGAAAGATAAGAGAAAGAACACAGAAGGGAACCCATCCCCTGGCACCTCCATACCAGCTTACTGTGTTCTTCCTGCGTGTTTCATGTGTGGTTAGTTAAGCCTCTTTTTTTTTGGAATGGAGTCTTGCTCTGTGGCCCAGGCTGGGGTGCAGTGGCACAATCTTGGCTCACTGCAACCTCCGCCTCCTGGGTTCAAACAATTCTCCTGCCTCAGCCTCCCAAGTAGCTGGGACTACAGCCATGTGCCACCATGCCCAGCTAATTTTCTTTTTTGCATTTTTAGTAGAGATGGGGTTTTACCATGTTAGCCAGGCTGGTCTCAAACTCCTGACCTCAGGCAATCCATCAGCCTCAGCCTCCCAAAGTGCTGGGATTACAGGTGTGAGCCACCATGCCCGGCCAAGCCTCATTTGTTTTCAATGGACATACTAGTTTTTTTATTGCTGCATAACACATTACCAAAAACTTAGAAGCTCAACACTCTTTTATTATCTCACAGTTTCTGTAGGTGAAAAGTCAGGGTTCAGCTTAGCTGTGTCATCTGCTCAGGGTCTCAAAAGGCTACAGTCCGGGTGTTGGCCAAGGCTGTGGGCTCATCAGAGGTTGAACTGGGGAAGGGAAAGGTCTGCTTCCAAGCTCCTTCGTGTTGTTGGCTGAATTCATCTCCTTGTAGTTGGAGGACTAAGGTTCTGTTCTGTTGTGGATGTCAGCTGGGGGCTCCTTTCAGCCAGCGGATACAGCTCCCCTGCAGTTCCTTGCCATTGACACCTCCAGAGGCCTCTCATGATGCAGCAACTCACTTATTCAAGGCAGTAGTGGAAAGAGAGTCCTTCTGGTGAATGTGAGCAAGACAGAGCTATATATGAATATGGTCATGTAACGAAGAGAGTGATTCCCATCACTGCTGCCATTTTATATTGGTTAGAAACAAGTGACTGGTCCCACCCACACTCAAAGGAAGGGATTATACAGTCATGAAAATGTGACGCTGCTAGGGTCTGGTCTGTCCACCACATTAACCTCATTTTGAAGAATTTCATGAGTCCCAAGGGTCACCGACAGCCTCCCCAAGGCTCTACCTGTGAATAGAGGCCTCCCAACATCATGAGTCCCAAGGGTCATCGACAGCCTCACTGACACTCTGCCTGTGAATCAAGGCCTCCTAACGTCATGAGGCCCAAGGGCACCAACAGCCTCACCAACGCTCTGCCTGTGAATCGAGGTCCCCCAATGTCATGAGGCCCAAGGTTTACTGACAGCCTCACCGATGCTCTGCCTGTGAATCAAGGTCTCCCAACGTCATGAGTCCCAAGGGCACCGACAGCCTCACCGACACTCTGCCTGTGAATCGAGGTCTCCCAACGTCATGAGTCCCAAGGGCACTGACAGCCTCACCAACACTCTGCCTGTGAATTGAGGTCTCCCAACGTCATGAGGCCCAAGGTTCACTGACAGCCTCACCGACACTCTGCCTGTGAATTGAGGTCTCCCAACGTCATGAGGCCCAAGGTTCACTGACAGCCTCACCGACGCTCTGCCTGTGAATAGAGGCCTCCCACCTCAACATTCCTTTTCAGTATGTCCTCTTTTCTTGTCCTTTTATTTTCCTGTTTTATTTTGGCATAAATTAGTAAATTTTATTATGCATTTCGTCCTTTTATTGACTTTTTGACTGCATTATTTTTTTCAGTGTTTTCTCTTAAAATTATTATATCCATTTTTATTTTTATGGTCTACTCTGATGTAATATTGTGTGACTTCATCTACAGTAAAATAACCTCATGCTACTATAAATCCACTTGTCTTCCCTGCTATCTGCAAGTGTTGCCTCACATTTAAATTTTATGTTATAAAACTATCTTTTCTATTTTTGTTTGAAATAACCAATTAATTTTGAAGAATTTAAGCAAAGAAGGAAAATAATTGTTTTTATTTATTTTCATATTTATTATCTCTAGTATTCTTCATTACTTTATGACACCATTTTTCATCGGGTATAATTTCTCTTCAGCCTGAAGAATTTTCTTTAGCGTTTTTTGAAGTGTGGATCTGCTGGCAACACACTCATCCAGCTTTAATTCATCTTAAAATGTTTTTATTTACCCTTCATCTTTGAAAGATAGTTTTTCTAGATATGTTTGTCAGTTGAAAGTCTTTTTATTTTTGGTGACATTTTCTTCTTTTTTTTTTTTTTTTTTTTTTTTGAGACGGAGTCTCGCTCTGTCGCCCAGGCTGGAGTGCAGTGGCGCGATCTCGGCTCACTGCAAGCTCCGCCTCCCGGGTTCACGCCATTCTTCTGTATTCCATTAGTTTTGTGACAAAGCATCATTAGTCAGCTGTATCATTGTTCCTATCAGGTGGCTCCTAAGAGTCCAGCTTATCTTCAGCTTTCAGCCTCTGGCCTCTGACGGCTTGCTGTGTTTCCTGGAGCTGAGAATCACTGTTTCTGATTAAGTTATTTTCTACAAATGTTTCATCCATTTTGATGTGTTATTATTCTCTTCTGGGGCTCACATGGCCCATGAGTTCCAGCTTTTGATTCTGTCCCTGGCACAGTTGACATGGTGTTGCTTTTTTATTATTTTTTTTCATCTGTACTATGCTTGAATTAGAATGTTTACTGACATGCTTTGGTTTTTATCAATCCAATTGCATGCATGTTAGACATTTTATCATGTCCAGTATGCCTTTCATATGGTGTCTGCATTTTTTGGCTCTCTGTTCTTCAACTTCAGTATTTTCTAACAAAGTAACTTCTACGGCATTGATTCTTCTTTGCTCTGCCCACTCTGGCATTTACATCCGGTGAGCTCTTCATTACAGCGATTGTCTCCTCGATTCTAGAATTTCTATTTGCTTCTTTTATATGGATTCCATCATTGTGGTAAAACTATCCGTGCTATTATCTATTTCATGTGTGTATAAAGCTGTCATTTAAATGGCCAATGTTAATGCCAATATGTGGGCCATACGTTACACCTAAAGTGGAGATTTCAGTTACCAGGAGGCTGGCGTGTGGCTTGCAGGAGGCTCTGATTATCCCACTCACCCCTCAGGGCAAGGGCTTCCAGGGTACCCTTAGAGCAGGGGCTTCCAGGGTACCCTGAAGGAGCCTATGGGATCCCTGGGGCCCCTCACTCTTCAGAAATCCTGGTCTCAACTTCCACCTCCAGCACCGCCCAGAATCCAGTCTGATTTGCAGCTCTGTTCTCTTGGGTTTCTTAGCTTCTTGATTCACGGAGGTTACACATTTTTAAAATGCCTCAATAGAAAGACAACACTGATAGGACCATCACTTTTCTGAGTCTTATTTTCTTAAGATCTGAAACCATGAGACCTGCCTAATTTGCATATGCATGGATGCTCCCCCCGATTTTGTCCAAATGTTTTAGTTGTCTTGGCAAAGTATTGGTGTTCCTCCAGACATTCCACAGTAACTGGAATGAGAACTTCCTGGTTGCATACTGAGAAAGGAGGACTTGGACAAAGGGAATTTGAGCCCAGACATTCAGCAGTAACTGGAATGAGAACTTCCTGGTTGCATACTGAGAAAGGAGGACTTGGACAAAGGGAATTTGAGCCCAGAGGCAGGAGGTGATTATGAGTTCAGCTTTGACACATCTTGGTGGCATACCAGTGAATATGCCATTCAAAGAGTCACACATGGGACCCAAACTCTCTGATGAGGACCCAGGGGGAGACACATTTTTAGGAATTAATAGCATTGGGGGAGGGGGTCATCAAAATAAGGCAAAGCACTAAGATCACTGGGATAGAGCTCCTGGGGAGAGGGGAGGATGCAGCATCATCCCCGTTCTGGGCAGGTGGACCAGGAGCGGGCAAAGCAAACTGGACACACAGACACCGAAGAGCAAGGAAACCGGGAATGCCAGTAGCTCCAATGTCCAGAGACGGACGTGTATTAGCAGATCAAATATGGCCGTTTGTGGGGAATGTTTACATCAAGCGCTTACACCTCACATACAGCAAGGGCATGAGTGAGCCTTACACGTAGGCCAGAGGCCTGTTCCTGCTCTGAAAATTCCAGGGCGGCACAGGAGTGGGGGATCAGAGAGAAAGTCGGTCTGGAATAGGGAGACTGGGCTTCCTACCCATTAGGGTCCACTGAGATCACTGAATGGGAGTGGCCAACTGAGCGGGTTGATTTTACCCATAGTGTTTTGGGATGTTACACAGCCCTCCCTTAGACTGTGGCCAGACAAATGAATTTTCCTATCTCAGTCACCACAAAGGTCAGAGGCCAAGTCCTGGTGATTCTCTAAACTGCTGTCCCGTGTGGTTTGGGACCTGGGGAACGAGGGGGCACCGCAGAGGGTGTCTGGTCCATCACTCCCGAGTATGTGGGCCTGGCTCACAAATGCCGCCCATGGAATGAATACCAAAGGGAGCTGTGCTTTGAATTGAGATCATTTGCTGGGGTCACTTATTAATTTGTCCCAAAATTTGCTCTGAAACTAACATCTATGAGAGGCACTCTGTAATAGTTGTGTGCTTTTTCTTTGTAATTAAAAATCAAAACCAAAAGCTGTCCAACAACTAAAATCATGGGCATTCCCTCCAAGCAGAGAGTGGGCATCCGAAGGCAAGGAACACTCAAACTGCAATGACAAAAATGTTGTTTCAGTTCCATCATGGGCATCAGTGGCAAATCGGATGCTGTGATGTGGAAGGTGGAGCGGGTTCTTACATGGTCACCCTGAATGGTCTGGTCATCAGGACATGAAAGCCCTTGGGCCCTGAATCAAAAGCATCAGCAGTCTCTGATGATCCTGAAGACATCATCTTTACTATAATAATCTTGTGTTTATTTCTCTTCTCATTTGAATTTATTTTATTGTCTTTATTGTATAAAACAATCTAGATTTTTGTTCAAAGTGTTGACCATTTTATAGGCTTCCATCATCATTTCCAGTTAAAAGAATATTTTAAACTATGATGTGAACTATATTGATGAGTAAATTCTCAAACACCAAATGCAATGACATTAAATATTAAAAATTCATGCACATGGTTTCTTGAAATAAATAATGCACAAATTTGGCTTTTTATATTTAAAGATCATACATTTCTAATGTGGATTTCCAAGCTTTTATTATATATTATTAAGAGTAAATTATTATAACTAGATGCATCCCATCGTTCATTCTGACCCTCTTTGAAGCACATCATGGCTCAGTAGTGCCTCTGGCAAAGAGTTGGCAGAGGAAAGAAGAAATCCCAATTTTCTATTTCAAGTATTGACTTCAAGGCTAAATCACTCATTCAACCCATGCAGGTGCTGTTTAGATCTGGAACAAAAGGGATTCTTCATGCCCAAAGCTGGGACTGTGTTTATCAGCCTGCTCTTAATTTCCATATGGCAATATGGTCCAAAATTCGGACTTCAAACTCTAACGCATATGTTAATTTTCCTGTCCTAATCAGAACATAACCTTTAATTATATGAGTCAAGGTCTCATTTTTGTCTATTGTTTTAATTCTTTGGTTGAAGATAATTACTGGGATCTGTCCTCGAATTAGTGGGTATCATAGATTGTAAGAGCCAAGAGGAAACGTCAGAATGATTGACTTCCTCCTTTTCAGGTGGTAAAGCTGAACTTTAGAGAAGAGTGTGACCTCCCTGTGGCCAAGACAGATCAGAAACCTGGCCTCTGGGTCAGGGCCCGGCAGTCCCTCCCTTGAGCCTGCATGGTGAGGAGGAGGGTGCAGTCAGCCGCAGACTTGGCCCAGGTGTATGGGGTGCACCCTGTCTGCCTGTCAATGTCACTCTGGGTCTGCTCTCAAGTGGGTGAGCACCAAGGAAGGGAGATGCGTGCCCAGCCTGGTGCTCGCAGGGAGCCCAGTGCTTGCAGGGAGGGGGGCTGGTCAGGGCAGCTGCTCTGGGGTGGCTGGATGGGGAACTGGACTCCAATGTCCACACATGTAATTGAGAGACCCCTTAAGGTACAGTTAGGAGAGTGGGGAGCAAAGAAGAGAAGGACAAGGCCATGAGGCCATTCCAGAACCTCCCGTTGCCAGTGCCAGAAGACAAAATTACAACAAGTTTAGATTAAAGATCTTGATCAGTGTTGAGAATGCCCATCCCAATGAACCTAGCAGAGGAGGCTGTGATTTTATAGACAGAAAAGGAAGCGGGAAACACAACACAAGGGGGTTGTCTCTTTTATAAGAGTAGAACAGTCGAACAAGAGTAGAGCAGTAGAACAGACGACCGTCTCTCGTAAAGGACTCCGGTGGGTCTGGTTACTTTTCTTGTCAAGGTTGAAGCAGAGGAACCTGCTTACCATGCCCGCTAGGACCGGCCCATTTGGAGATCTGGCTTCTGTGGGCTTTCTCCTGATGTCTCCGGAGGTCAGATAAATAAATCTCTCAGCTCCTCCTTTATGGTGTGGGACCTGCGGCTCATTCCGGTCTGGTCGGCTGGGCCCTGTGCAGCAGCTTGTTCCAGACTGAGACCTTCCACAGAGTTCACTTAGCTCCATATCAAAGGGCAGAGATGCCAGGGGCCTGGGGATTCTCCAGACAAGGTTTACCTTCCCAGCATAAGGAAGGGATATTGGGCAAGGCAGGAGGATTATTTGACAGATTGTTAGTGCAGACAAGGACTTTCACAGAGGCAAATATATGGCATTTAAACCGTGTCTGTGCTCCTGTCCCAGATGCAAATGTGGCCAGAACTCTGCCCAGACATTCCCACACCTGGAATTAGTCAGACCATGTGCTGCTCCACCTTGAAGCATTGTTACCCAAATTGAAATGTGGCGTTTCTTGTTATTGTAATATTAGCACAAGGATGAAACCCTACCATGGAAGCAACCCAGGGAAGGGCCTGTGCACTGTGTACCCTCTGCCACCAGAGGAAATGTCTGCTGGGTGTGCTGCAGACTTCCGAGGGATGACACAAGTTTTGTGGGGACTGAAGCCTCATCTTTCATAATAACACACACATGATGCACATTCATGCATACATACATGCAGGACACACATGTGCACACACTTTCATGACACACACATGCACTCCAGATGCTCATTCATGCATACACACACGCAAGACACACAAACACACACCTTGCACACACATAAATGACACATACAAAAATGCACATTCATGTATACACACATGCAGGACACACACATGCATATGTGATGCACATTCATGCACACAGGATACACATGCACACACATACATGACGCACACAGCAATTCATGCGTGGACACACACTAATGCATGCATGGACACACATATGCATAGTGTACAATTCCCTTTTGTTTCTCACCATTAAAAATAATCCCATAATGCTTTAACTGATTTAAAATCCATTCAAAGGGCTGACAGTGGAAGACGTCTGATGACCCAGGTTCAGAGGCCCCCAGGGATTCTGGAGAGCAGAGACCTGGGCGCCTCTCTCCTGCCCACATGAGACAGAGACTCCAGAGTAGGCCAGGGGACCAAGAAGACACATGCTCAGAAGAGTCTGAAAGGCCGATGCGTGATCTCTCTCCATCTGCACCCCTCGCCCCACCCAGGCCATATCTGCCTGGGCTGCAGTGATTCCCCTGGGGCATCACCCCTTATGGTCCTGTCTCCACAGAGCTGCCAGATGATCTTTCTACAAGACCTAAATCAGATGTCATGTCTTAATTGAAACCTTTAATGGCTTTCCACTGGACTCAGGATTCTTCTCCCTGATTTATAAAGCTCCATGATCTGGCCCCATCTGCATCCCAGCCTCCCCCGGGTCCACCTCCCTGGTTTCATATCATGATCCTCTTTCTTGTCTTTTTTTGATACTAAAACAAAAACAAATACACTACCAATGTGAACGGTTGGCTTTTTGAGAAGATAAACAGTCAACAAAACTTTACCTGGACTAATTAAGAAAGACTCAAATAAATAAAACGGGAAATGAAGGAGGAGACCTCATAGCTAACACCACAGAAAGACGAAGGGTCAGATGACCAGTGTAAACAATTATGCCACAACAAACCGGACGGCCCACAGAAATATGAAGGGTCACACGACCAGTGTAAGCAATTACACAGCAACAAACCGGATGGCCCCAAAGAAATGGACAGATCCATAGACACATACGACCTGGCAAGACTGAACTATGAGGAACAGAATGTCTGAGGAGACCTAAATAGTACAGAGATTGGATTCATAATTAAAACAAAAAAAAATTTCCATCAAAGAAAAGCCAAGGAAGGGCCTAACGGCTTTACTGATAAATCCTACAGGCATTTAAGGAAGTAACACCCATCCTCCTCAAATGCTTTAAAAAAACTGAAGGAGAGAGGACACTTCCTAATTCATTTTATGAGGCCAGAATTATGCTGATACCAAAGCCAGATGAGGACACTATGAGAAAAGATGTTCTGCCCGGGATTTCTGAATCAGCTGCTCCATCCCCCAGGAAGGTCCTCACAGGCAGTCCCAAGACGGCCACTCCTGTGGTGCCGGCTCTGCATCCATGTCCACCTGCAGGCTCAGAGGAGCCCCGCACCCTAATCTGCAGTGGCCGCCAATCACCCCTCCTGCTTCTCTGCCGTTAACGTCCACCCTGGGCTTGCCGGGTCCTTACGTTTCTGTTGTTGGTGGCCTTGTCCTCACCGGGCATCCCCTTCATCTACACGGAAGCCCCTGAGATGAGGGACACAGCCAGGGTTCTCACTGCTGCAGGCCCTGCACTCAGGAGAATACTGGGCATACAGTAGGTACTCAATTAATGCTGAATGAATAAGCGCATGGTGCACAGTGAACCCTCAGATATGGGAAGGACAGAACAGGCCATTCTGATGCTCATTCCAGGCCCTACTGTGGGGTATCTTTTGTGTCACAGAGGAGCTTATCTGAGGGCCATGGAGATGCTCCGTGGGCCATTCTCTGATTTTGAGGAGATCAGGCTCGTGGAGGGGAGCCCGGCTGGTAGGCTGGAGCGGGTGCTTCTTGGCCCTGTTGCTGTCAGAGTTCCTGCCTTTCCCTCTATTCATAGCTGCCTCCTTTATGAAAGTCTCATTAATTTCACACTCTGAAACTGCGCCTCCAGGCACCTTGCTTGTTAGAGTGGAATCATGCTTTGAATGCGACTATCATTACAAAAAGCAAAACTCTAGTGGCTTTCTAAGGCTCATGTTAGAAACTCTCCTTTGCAGAAAACAGACCTTGAGATGGAGGAGTCAGAGGCTCTTTGTGGCTGCTGTTTGACCCTCACTGGGGAAGGGGAGCCATAAAATTGTCACGGGCCCACGGAGGCCTTCCCCGGTCCGTTGCCCTGGACTATGACAGAGGCCACATAAGCAAGTCCACAGGCACCACCCACCCAGCTGAGTAGGTAGGGAAGGTTGTCTGGGTCAGCTGAGACCCAGCACAGGTGTGTTTCACGGTCTCAGAAACTCACGCCAACCTGCATCTCAGAAATGCAGTCCCCTCCACAATATTCTGGTGATGATTAATGATTGCAGATACATTAATTTAGTGCATATATTCCTTATTATCACATCTCTGCACTCAGCCCTCAGTGCCACATCCACGTCTCTGCACTCAGCCTTCAGTGCCACGTTCACATCCCTGCACTCAGCCCCCAGTGCCACATCCAAGTCTCTGCACTCAGCCTTCAGTGCCACGTTCACATCCCTGAACTCAGCCCTCAGTACCACGTCATGTCTGCACTAGCCCTCAGTGCCACGTTCACGTCCCTGCACTCAGCCCTCACTGCCACATCCACGTCTCTGCACTCAGCCTTCAGTGCCACGTTCACGTCCCTGCACTCAGCCCTCAGTGCCACGTTCACGTCCCTGCACTCAGCCCTCAGTGCCACATCCACGTCTCTGCACTCAGCCCTCAGTGCCACGTCCACGTCTCTGCACTCAGCCCTCAGTACCACATCCACGTCTCTGCACTAGCCCTCAGTGCCACGTTCACGTCTCTGCACTCGGCCCTCAGTGCCACGTTCACGTCTCTGCACTCGGCCCTCAGTGCCATGTTCAATATTCCAAGTGGAGCCCTCACAGCACAGGTTTTCTCACTAAAATCCTCATGTGGGAGGTGCACGTCAGTCATAAAGTGCTTGCTGTTAGGTTGGTCATATTGGGTCCCGGGTCCCTAACACAGCTGTGGCCATTCCTGTCTCTTCTTCACGAAGTCATCAAAATAGCTGAAGGCTTAGAGCAAGCACAAAATCTTGTGTGGCCTCCAAACACAAACAGGGAACGCTGTGAGGATGTTGAAAGGGAAGGGGTGGGGTGGAGCACGTGTCTTGAGCCTCCCGCTGGTGCACCACAGAGGAGAGACACCGAAAGACGGTGAATCGGATCGAGTTTGATGCCGATGGATGAAGGTACCTGTGCAGGTGTCGCAAGCCCGGCAAAGACAGAAGACAAATGTCGAGCTCTCCCAGCTTCTGCACAGAGCCGTTCAGATTCGGGAATTAATTTAATCCTCTCCACGACTATTAGTGGAAAATGGTATCCTCATCACATAACGAGACACGCTGAGGCTTCGGGAGCCCAGACACACTTTAACGGGAGTGAAGGACAAAGCCTGGGCTCGAATCTCAGGCTGTGTGCGCCCTCGGCTCACTGCGTTTTCAGCACCAGGCTCTAGTTCAGTGGGAAGGAGAAGTCCTCTCCTGTATATTCATGGAAAGCATTCATCGCCACACACACCCTGTAAACATGCCAGCCACGACTCTAAAACACAGAGAAAATATAGGCAAAGACAGGCGTGTCTGCTTTGAAAATCACGTCAATTTGTACCTTCAGCTAATACCTGGCCTCAGCCAACTGACGCCCCGAGTCTTCTCTTTTGTTATAGAAAAGGTTGACTTCAGTTTGTTCACCAGTCACAGAATTGTGAAGCGGTCTCCTGGCGATCCTCACTCAAAGCCAGCATGGCACGGGGAGGGAGGGGTGGCCCCGTGACATGACGGCTCCAAAGCAGATGCCTGGTGGACCCGCGGAGGGAGCGGTGACCGGGCGCCAGGTGCCCACGTGTGGCTGTGGCTCAGCGGCCTGCAGGCTGGGCTTGGCCCTCTGACAGGGATGGGGCCGTCCCCCGGTCCGACCACCTACACACTCGCTGCAGAGCAGTGCCTGGTTTGGGCATCTGGAGACAAACCAGCGTGGCCAGGTGGGCTGGGAACAAACCCAGATGCACGTCCTCCCAGTGGCTTCCTGGGAACACTCAGACCCCAGCTTCCATCCCGGGCACCGCCCTCATGCCCTGCCAGCCTCTCTGGTATTGATTAGATCAAAAGCAGCACTTTGTGTAGGGTGATGGAACCTTCTAGGACATGAAAATCTCTTTCTAAGCAAAGGTGACTGTGAACAGTGCATCATCTGGTTCCTTATTTAACGAAGAGTTTCAAGTCTTTGACGAATTTTGTCATTTATCACGTTTCTATCAACCCCTGGCTATCCACATCCTCTGCCTATCATTTATGTTCAGCAAAGCATCTATTCTTATTCTGAATTATGACCTCTTCTGTTTACTGACTTACTGTTCTTCTCAGCCACAGAACATACACTCAAGACTTCAGCTCTTGCCTGCCCTTCACCATCCAGCTCCACACTAATGTGTGGCACATAGAAGCTGCACAGTAAATCTTTGTTGGCTTATTAATTAATTAGTAGTTGTTTGGAAGCTATAACATAATTTCCCAGGAATTAGTACTGTAATCCTATCCCTACAAGTTCACGAGAGACAATTAAATTTATAATATAACAAATACAGAATGCTTGTGGTGAATATAATTTTGAGTTTTTTCTTTAATCAAAATGAAAAGCTATATAAGCTTTTGTAGGACAGCGTGCCTCACTCTGGGTCAGAACTGAGCATATTAATTCATAAAAGCCTCTTTTCCAGGGTTCTGGTGGGAGTCCCACTGCCTCTGGAACCGTGGTGGTGAGCAGGTTTTCAAAACTCTGGTTCCTTCTACTAGGGATGCAGGAAGCTCCAGACTTTCCCTCTTCTTTCTCATGGGATCTACTACCCAGAGGTCAATAGTGAGCCTCGGCTGCTGTTGAGACAGACAGGAGGGACAGAGTGCCAAAACAGTAGCAGCATCCACTAAAGGAAAATAAAGGTCCTTGAAAAAGTCAAACTTACAGGTAACCCAATTATATCCAGAGAGTAAAGAAACAGTGATTCTCATAAGTTAGAAATGGTTACATTAATTATAATAATAAAGAAATGATCTGTGTGAACCACAGGAATAAGAGATGGAAGACGCGGTGGTCTCTATACACCAGCAATGCTCTTCGTACCCTTGGGTGCCATGTGGGCATTGCCGAGTTAGAGGGTGCCATGCTGCAGGTGCCGCTCCACACCCTGCTTTCCTCCCGGTCGTGCTTCCCATGCCCCGTGCCATGAGCACCTCCTGCTGCAAGGGCAGGGTGTTCCTGTGAAATAGTCATATGGGGTGGGAGATGAATGCACTTCAAATTCTCTAGGATCTGTCATTGGGAAAAGGGTCAAAGTGCCAATAGGCAGAAACCACCCAAATATCCATCAGTGAACAAAAGTAAAAATGAGATGTGGCTTAGCCACGCAAAAGAACATCATTCATCCATAATCTAGAAAACACTGTGCCTAATGAGAGAGGCCAGATGCAAAAGACCTCTGAGCCTCTGTATATGTATGGAAGTCTAGGAGAGGAGTGTCTGTCCAGACAGGAGGCAGCTTAGTGGCTGCTGAGAGCTGTGGGCGGGGGAAGGAGGGACAACAGGAGAAGGGCAGGGGTCTCCTCTTTTTCTCCTGGAGCTGATGAAATGATCCAGTTGAGGGTGGGGATGGCTGCACGTATTTGTGAATATACTCAAAACCATCGAATTGTATAATTTAAACATGCAAATTGTATGGTATTTGAAGTATAGCTCAATAAAGCTGTTTCCCAAAAAGCTGATGGAACAACAAGAAAAAATAGACACATTCACATGGCGAAACATGGTATGGAGAGAACATATAGTTTTAAATCCATATATTAGAAAATCACAAAGGCTGAAAATCAATAAATTTTGTGTGTGTATTTAAGATTTGTTTTACAATGGCATTAACAAAAGCAACAGAATCTATGCAAGACCAGTATGCTCAAAGTCATGAAATGTTTTTTAAAGAAATTAAAGAAATAAGCAATGTTTGGATTCTGGAAGACTCAGCACAGTAAAGGTAAATAACCTCTAGAATCAAGGTCATCTCAGTGACAATTCCTGCAGGCCTTTTCTTTTGTGGACATTGACAAACTGAGTCTAACATAGAGGCAGAGACAAGGCATGGCCTGTAATCCCAGTGCTCTAGGAGGCCGAGGCCAGACATTCTAGACCAGATGGGGCAACATACTGAGATCCCATCCCTATGAAATATAATTTCAAAAACATAAAATACAGGCAGACAAATGATGAGCTGAGGGCAACGCAGACATGCAGGCCCCAGGAACTGCCCCATGGGCAGGTGGTTTCTCCTGCAGCAGTGACCAGCGGTGTGGGCGCAGAGACCATCAGGAGGATGGAATGGAAACTGGAGCTAAGAATCAGACCCTCACAGACACAGATACTTAGCTTATGGCTGAGTTTGGGGTAGAGAGCAAAGTGATGTGTTTTTTTTTTTTTTTTTTACTTCAATAGATAATATTGGGTCAAATAAATATGAAAACTAAATAATGAGACTTGATATATACTTTATACTGCACACAAAAATAAATGTAGGGTGAATTTTAAATCTAAATGTGAAAGACATAAGAAGACAAATTGTAAACAATAACAAGATATCTACATTTTTTATTAGGGAATTATTTCTTTAAAGAGACACAAGGAATAACAACCATGAAAGAATAAATCGACACATTGGATTGCATTTGTATTAAGAATATTTGCTCCTGCAGAGACACCGATAAAAAGTTAAAAGCAAGTCACACGGTGCAGGAGCGTCCTTGCGACACGTAGCTGGCAGAGAGCTTGTCGCTGACACAGAGAATAACTCCCATAAATCAGGATCAAAACCATAAATGGCCTAATTAAACAGATGGGTAAGAGACTGAAATGGGTCCTTTACAGAAGAGGATATCCAGCTGCCCAATATCCGTATGAAATGTCTTAGACCTCATTTGCAAACAACTTTCTGTAATTAGGAAAATGCAAAATTAAAGCGCAACGGATACCACCACACCATGGATGGCGAAACAAAAGGAAGCAATATTGCCATCATCAGGCCACAATAAAGGTACTCATTTATGACCTGGCAATGTCACACCTAACAAGACACAGAGCAGGGCTGCGAGCTGTGTGCAGGAGGACACATGGACGGATATTCACACAATTGAAGATTTGAAAGACGCCAACGTGCAGCAGGGGCAGGGTGTGGACACAGCCCTTCGGGGGAGGAGTCCACAGCAGGGGCGTCTGCAAACCTTTTCTGTAGGAGCCAGGCAGTGAGTGGTGTAGGCTCTGCAGGCCATGCGGCCTCTATCAGGGGCTCACCCTGGCCACTGCAGGGAGCAGCAGTCTTCGCCAACAAGTAAAGGAAAGAGCATGGCTGTGTCCCAATAAGACTTTGTAGACTAAAACAGGCCACAGTAGCTGAATGTGGCCCCCACAGATGGTAGTTTGTTGACTCCTTGTTTAAAGCAATATAAGTTAATGGACTGAAGTGATATGTGTGCAGTAAAGTGGATAAATATCACAAATGAAATGTCGCATAAAAACAGGTAGACACAAGAGTGCAGATCACAGAATTCCATTTTCATAAATTTCAAACAAGATAAAACCATAGTATTCAAAGGTGAAGGTCTAGGTTGTAGAAAGGATGAAGAAAGAAAAGTGAGGAAAGGACAACTACGAATGATCAGTCTGGTTGTTCCTTTTTCAGAAAAAGGAGGAGGTAGTGACTGTGAGAGGTGTGAGGGAGTACCGTAGGTTACTTTCAGTCTTCTGCTTTTTGACCAAAGTGTTTGATTGATCATAAGCTTCCAAACTGTGCATTTTGTTCTTTTTTATATGTGTGTTATAATTTGCAATACAAATAAAATGTTCTCATATTTATCTATGTAAAATAATGAATTTGTGGTGGGTAACCCTCCAAAGTATATAGCATTCCCATTTCACAAGACAGACAGCTGTGGCCCGAGAAGACAGACTCGGTTCTCAGAGATATGAAGTAGAATAGTGGCACTGGGATGACAATATGTGTTTTTAGCAGAGGGAGGTGAGGACTGAAGCTTGTTTTTATAAAACTCTCTTTTAAAACCTGGAGTTAAAGGGAGTGCAGGAGGCAAAATTTAAAAGATGCCCCACACCCCAGCCCCAGCAGTGTCAATCCTGGGCTATCTGGTCAACACTAATCTCAACACCCCCCTGAAGGAGATTTGCAGACAGAATTAAAGTCCCAAGTCAGGTGACCGTAAATAAGGTAAATAACTATTCCTGGAATTTCATGTTGAAATTTTTTTGTATCTGTGATTTTGTATCCCCTCAAAAACATGAGAGTGAAAGAATATAAAAGATAGTAATCTTGGTGATGAGTGCATGAGTGTCTTTATTGAATGCTTAAAATATTTTATAATTAATAAAAATGCATAAGTAAGAATACAAATAAATAATATGAAAATGAGACAAGGGATCAGGAAAATATACTATGTATTTGTATAAGATTTAATAGTTTTTCACCAAAAGTAAAAGTTGGTAAGAATTAACAGTGTAACATATATTTTAGACTACTGGAAAAACAGTTTTACATGCCAGGCATGTAAGGAAAGTAAAATGTGCTTTTGGTAAAAGATTATAATAAGTCATGGGAATAGTATTTTCTTGCCCAGTTTAGAGGGTTAAAGGATTGTTTTAAGTTAGATAGAATAAAGCTAAAAGTTTGAGCAAGTTGTGGAAGGTTTGTGAAAAAGTAGTCTTGTAAAAGAAATTCTGTGTGTGATCACATTGCTAAAGTTAAAGGGGTATTATTCAGTTATTCTGTAAATTGAACATAGGAATGAAAGCATAACACAGTTTTCTTAGAACATTGCTCTGCTTTTTAACAGAAAACTGTAAAGGGTTATAAAAGGTTTATGAAAATCTTTCATTATGGTCAAACTGATTAATATTAAATAGATTTGTCCATAAGGTTTTATTAAGAATTGGATTTAACATCAATAGTACACTAATGCAAAGGTAAAATTTGGCTTTTTTTTGAACTGTATTTGTATAAATGTGTTGTTGGTATGTGTTCCAAAATCATGTGAAACTTCCATAATTCTAATATGACTTAGTATACATTATTAGTAATAACTATAATTATTTTAAATAATTGTGTGCCACAGAAGTGACAAATTTCCTTGTCAATTGTGTCTTTGACTATGGCTGCCCTAAGGTTTTTTGTTATCCACAGACAATTGTCTCATTCTAATTATCTTTTTTTTTTTTTTTTTTTTTGAGACGGAGTCTCTCTCTTTCGCCCAGGCCAGAGTGCAGTGGCGCTATCTTGGCTCACTGCAAGCTCCGCCTCCTGGGTTCACACCATTCTCCTGCCTCAGCCTCCCGAGCAGCTGGGACTATAGGCATCCACCACCACATCTGGCTACTTTTTTGTATTTTTTTTTTAGTAGAGACGGGATTTCACCATGTTAGCCAGGATGGTGTTGATCTCCTGACTTCGTGATCCGCCTACCTCGGCCTCCCAAAGTGCTGGGATTACAGGTGTGAGCCACCGCGCCCGGCCACAAACAGACTCTTTTAAGGAATCAAAGTTCACTTATAGAGCCGATAAAGGCCTGTTGGGAAAACTGGCCTAATACTTTGTCTACCCAGTCCCTGTGCAGGGTTCCTGACCTGTAGTAAGTAAAGAACGTTACTTTCTAAGAGGCCCAGGAACCCAAGTTATCTTGGGACCTGAAGAGAAGAAGAATTTATGCAGCTAATACAGGTATTTGATGGCACAAGTCCATGGCAGGGCTCAAGGCTTTAAAAAGTCTTATCTGAGATTCCTTACGGAACAAAGTTCTATCAAAGCCAATTTTAAAAAGAGGTTATGATTATTCTTGCTATGTTTTATGCAAATAATCAGGCCAAGTATAATATGACTAAAGCTTATTTTGCAAATGAATCAGTCCTATCATGATTTGATTTTAATAAAAATTAGGACTATAGAGATAAAAATTATGTTTCAAGAACTGTAGTACACCTGTTATTAGATTCCAGTCTCATCAGTTGTTCATGAGGTTTTTTTTTCCATGCAATTCAGACTGATCCTGCTCACTCCTATCAACCAACCATGATGTCTGGCTGCAGCTCAGAAGAAACAAGAGGGATGGGTAATGCAAAAATCTGGATCAATATTCTAATTTTGGGCATATACTGGAATTAAGGGCTAACAAGAGCAGATCCACTCTTTAGCAGCCGTAGTCCTTCAAATCATTAAGGGCTGACAAGAGCAGATCCACTCTTTAGCAGCCATAGTCCTTCAAATCATTAAGGACTAACACTAACACACAACAGGTAGGACCAATGTTAACTAATGTTCACAGCAGCTCAGAGAGGAGTTTCCTTAGCCTCAAATAAAAAATATTGCTTTTGGGTAAATCAATCAGGAAAAGTACAAGACAACATCAGACAACTTGTAAATGCAGCCTCTTGTTTGTGGGAACAAGCCTCTCAGGGCTGGCTTGTTCTCCAAAAGGAACCTGGGGAAGGAACCTAGAAATGGCTCTCCTGGGTTTTTCCCTTTGAAGACCACTTGTTAGTCTCCTACTTTTGCTCCTTCATGGTCCATGTCTTCTAAATCTAATAACCTGATATGTCTCCTCCTGCCTTCAGGCCATCAAGTTCCAGATGACCCTCAGCGGAATACCATCCTCTCAAGATTCAAGAGCCATCCTTCTACAGAGGACCCTTAGACTGCCCATCAGTGTAAAGCAACAGAGTTGAAATCTTGCCCCATCTCCCTTGGACCTGGCTAGACACTGCTTTCACCAACCTAAAGAGTCATCTGCCTTCCCTGACAGCAGCAAGAGGCCAAGACCCACAGAACCACCACCACTGCCCGTGTGTCAACAGGAAGCAGTTACAGAAGACTGACCTTAATCCATTTTCCCCCAAAATTGGGGTCTTGGACTCTTGAGGGGGAAATGCTACAGCAGGAAGTCAGGCAGACGTGAGAGCCCCCCTGGCCAGGAATGTCAGGTAACTATCAGGTGATGGCCAGGAGGTGGTTAACAGTCTCTCCAAAATAATTGGTCACAGCTGGCACCAGGGAACAGCAGTTTCCCAATGGACAGAAAACACCTGAAACTGGATCAGCAGCTTCCCCATAAGATCTCAGGAGCTGGGTGAGCAGGCTCAAGCACGCACACTAAAAGGCAAAATGGTGGAGTTTAACTGGTATATGACCTTCCAGGAATATTCAGCTACTATGGGAAGAACGCCTCAAGCAAGCAGACGTACAACTTCAGTAAACCTACTGTGCACATGGCCCCTCCCAAGGGCTGGCAGGCCACTGTGCATGCGGACAGCCCACCGCATGGGAATAATCAGGGGAAAGGGATGCAACTGAAAGCATGCCAATGGATACAACTCCAAGTCAAAGGTCAAACCACACACTTGACTTGCTCAAGCCACCAACTTGCCTTCTTCCAAGTGGACTTTCCTTTCTTTTGTTCCCACTCTAGGCTTTTTAATACGCTTTCTCTCCTCCACTAAAACTTGCCTTAGTCTCTCCTTCTGCCTATGCCCCTCAATGAAAGTCTTTCTTCCGAGGAGACAAGAACTGAGGTTGCTGCAGACTCATACAGATTCACCATGGCTAACCCTCATAAGTCACGTGCCAGCTCAGGACAGCAATGTTTATCTTTCTTCCTGCTGACTCTGTGTTGTTGAGGAAAACATCATATTTTTGTCTCCAAGATTCAGGCTTAGAAATGCTTCTTCATAAGGATTCATTTTGATGCTTTTGCTTTCCCCTTGAAATCTACCTGAAAGGATCATCCAGAATTGAACCTTCAGGACCTAAGCCTCTGGGCAAGATTCAATCTTTCCTCCCTTTTCCAGCTCTGCATAGTGTAAATGTGGTGGGGTTTCACCCCAATTCCTGTTGTAAACCAAAAAGTATCTGAGATGGGTCTCAATCAGTTTAGAAGTTTGTTTTGCCAATGTTAACCGCATGCTCAGGAGAAAAATAACAACACGGAATCACAAAAACAGTCCATGGTGTGTGCCTTTCTCCAAAGATGATGCTAAGAGCTTCTATAGTTGAAGGGGAAATGGGAGCTGGAGGGGAAAGAGGAAGGGTGTGGTCATCCACATGCGGCAAGAGGAAAGGACAGGCAGAACAGTCAACTGCGCAACCACCTCCTGCCCAGCAACTCTGCACTTTCCATAAGACAAAGTGGACATAGAGCAGCTGCTTGTGGAGATGCATCACCTTCTATCTGTCGTTCTCTGCTTAGGAACAAAAGGAAAGGCAGCTGCTTGCACGACTCGTCTTCCAGCTTCATTCCTCCTCTTTGCAGAGTAAATGGGGTCCCCAGCTCTTAGTTTCCTTTCATGGTGCCGCAGCCAGAGTGAACGCAATAATCAAATGCATTTTCCTTCTATGTAGAGAAAAGGAAAATATACTTTACCACCAATTTTTGTGTCTATTTTTATTTGCACTGTTTGAAATTGGTAAACTCTGATTACTTCCTTTGAGGTCACTTTACCCACACAATGCCTCCAACGCTGACATGGACTCCGTTCTCCACTAGCTGCAGTCAGGCCCCTCCTCACCTCCTCCTGCCATGGCCCAGTTCTTGGCTGCTGAGCCCAGGTTAGCAAGACTACCCGAGTCGAACCCATGTCCCCGACCCCTCAGCATTCCTGGCCCTTCGTCCCTGGAGGTCCTTGCTGTGTTCGGCTGAGCCCAGGCCCGCACTTTGGCCTTGCAGCCCTGAGGCAGCAACTGGAATAAACTCTGTCTTGCTATTTTTAACAAGCCTCTGCTACAAATCACAACAGGCCCCTTTAGGGTCTGGCATTTGAAAAGAGTAATTCCTTTTCTATTAAAAAAAATTCCTTAAAGACTTTATATAACTGAGAAAAAACCTTGCAAAGCATCACTCAACAGCAACAAGAAAACACAACAACTTAAAGATTAGGATAGAGTAAACAGGGTTTCATCCCAATGAAAGTGCCAGGGCTGAGCACCTGCTGAGAAGGTAGTTATGCTGAAGGATCCCCCTTTGCCCTGTCCCCTGAAGGCACTCACATCTGTAAAGCCCCCTTTCCTTTCCCTGCTGTGCTGATTATTTCAGGGCCCTTTCCATTATCCCGAGCTGCCCTACCTGAATCCCTGTCATCCAGCCCACAGCAACCCCTCAAGCCCTACCTCAGTCTCCCCACGTGACCTCCCCCACATGCTGGCCTGCACCCTTCTAGGGTGGATGGTTCTCTTACTTGGTTGTGGACACACAGGGTGGTCCCTGCTCCTGCCAATGGAGTTCATTTCCTCAGCCCAGCCCGGGGTGTCCACTTTCCCACTCTGACCATACCCCTCGTCTCTTTCTGGTGAGGACCTGGGAGCTGCAACCTCCACCCTCACCCTCTGTTCTCCATTGTCCCAACAGCCCTCTCCTGCCCATCCCAATCCTCAAGACCCCTGCTTAGGCCTTCCTATGCCGTTCGCTGCGCAGCAGGCTTCTCCCTTGTGTGGGACTCCGCACATGTCCTGCCCGTCCCACCTCACACTGAGTTACTGATCCTCTGGTGGGCGCCCCCCTGGCACCTGCCTGTGAGATTGGAGGCTCACCTGGCTTCCATACCACCCCCCAGGATGAAACCCAGGGCTTCGCGTGTGGTCGCGTTCAACATCTTTTCCAAATACCTGCATGAATTCTGTGACATTTTTATGCCTAGCACTGCAGGCGTCTGAGCCCTCATAAAGTCCTTTCACTTGACCTTAATTACACAAATGGATATGATTCTACAGGGGAATAAAAATAAATTGGCATATCACAGACGGGATGTTTACTTTTAGTGGAAACTTAGCAAAACCCTTTTGTAGAATGACTTTCCCATTCACAGTCAAGAGTATTTTTAGATCAGCAGCCAACACTGAACAGGAGCCAAGAGGAACTTCCCGCAACCCACGTTCTTTCACTGACCACCACCCTGTCTAGCACCTTCCAGAGGACGAGCTTGTTCTGACCCTCATCACCAGAATCTCTGTGACCCAATGAACATGGAAATTCATTAAAAATAAATTTAAAATGTCTGCAACAATCTACTTTATGATCCATTAGAAAATGTATTACATACCTTTGACTTATCATAGAGAGATCACTGCTCTGTTTTAAAATTCTTCATACAGTGACTTTTTAAAATAAAGTCTTATGAAACATGCTTGAAATAGATGCCAAAAATTCTTACAAACATTACTATATGCTTTTTTTTTTTTTTTCTGAGATGGAGACCCACTGTGTCACCCAGGCTGGAGTGCAGTGGCACAATCTCGGCTCACTACAATCTCCGTCTCCCATAATTCCTCCACCTCAGCCCTCCAAGTAGCTGGAATTATAGGCATGCATCACCATGCCCAGCTATTTTTTCTATTTTGGGTAGAGACAGGGTCCCAAGCTTTTATTTTCAACCATGGCTTTTATTATAGTCAATGGGGTGTCTTCATGTTGGCCAGGATGGTCTTGAACTCCTGACCTCAAGTGATCTGTTCACCTTGGCCTCCCAAAGTGCTGGGATTACAGTTGTGAGCCACTGAGCCAGCCAACATTCCTTATATGCTTTATTGGACCTTTTTTCTTAGTTTTTTTCTTTAATGTGTCACCTCATTAATTGTGTTTGGACTCATTTCAAAATACTGTTTTCCTGTCTTTAGAGGAAGAGATTGGCTATTGCTTTCTCATTATAGTTCTTGTGTTTGTCTTCTACAGTCACTTTTTAAATGTAAAACAACAGATATGGTTAGGCTTTGTGTCCCCACCCAAATCTCAATCTTGAATTGTAATCCCCATAATGGGAGGTTTCCCCCACAGTTCTCATGCTAGTGAGTGAATGCTCAGGAGATCTGATGGTTTTGTAAGGGGCTCTTCCCCCTTCGCTCAGCACTTCTTCCTGCTGCCCTGAGAATAAGGTGCCTGCTTCCCCTTCATTTTCCCCCACGACTAAGTTTCCTGAGGCCTCCCAAGTCATGCTGAACTGTGAGTCAACTAAACTTCTTTCCTTTATAAATTATCCAGTCTCAGGCAGTTCTTTATAGTAGTAAGAAAATGGACTAATACATCAATTTATGATTTAATTTTGGTACATAAGGAAGAAATGCAAACCCAGAAGACAACTCGCTTGAGACCAGGACTCACCATGACTATGGTTTTGCATTAAGTCATTCATAGCATCTCACTCCTGCTTCTTTTTCGTGGTAGAGGGGAGATCCACTGACCATGTCTAGTCTGGATTCCAAATTCTCATGTTTTTGTCTCTGTGCTTTTCATACACAGAGCCAAAAACTCTTGTCTACTTCTTTCAAGTCTACTGAATGCAACACTGCCATGACTACCAATCTGCAAGTACAGAACACTTTTACAGGTTCGTGGTTAAACCAATAACCTTGACATTCTTATGGGGAAGTCCTGTGGTTCAGAGTGATGGGGAACAGAACCGTGAAGGCCCTGAAGGAAGAATGACGGGGCAGGTCTCACCACTTTGATTTGCCGTCTGGCATCTAAGTCCTCTCTGAGCTGTTTCTCACTTCACAGATTCTTCACCCAGCTTACAACCCAGAGCTTCTCTCAAACCTCCAAGTAGGTTTAGCTCTCAAAGGTTTCCTTGTTGCCCTTATCTCACGTACTAAATTGTAAGATATTTTGTTCATAAGCATTTTTCATCCTCACTGGCTTTTCCTTCTTTTCTTTGCTTTGTTTGTTTTGTTTTGCTTTGTTTTTGACCGAGTCTCACTCTGTCACCCAGGCTGGAGTGCAGTGGTGCAATCTCGGCTCACTGCAACCTCTGTCTCTCAGGTTCAAGTGATTCTCCTGCCTCAGCCTCCCAAAGTAACTGGGATTACAGGTGCCTGCAACGACATCCAGCTCATTTTTTTAAAATTTATTTTTAGTTGAGACAGGGTTTCACCATGTTGGCCAGGCTGGTCTTGAACTCCTGACCTCAGGTGATCCACCCACCTTGGCCTCCCAAAGTGCTGGGATTACAGGCGTGAGCCACCGTGCCTGCCCGGCCTCTTTCCTTTTAAAACATCTTGGTGGTTACTAGATGGAATGGCTCTCATTTTATGTCCAAAAATATTTAAGCATGTTGTATGTGAGGAATTGAAAGCTGTCCTAATCAGCTATTTGAAAAACACGTGTGTTGTCACCCCGAGGACGGACGCATTTTATTCCAAAGAAAACATGGCCTCAGGGGGACGCAGAGCCTCCTCCAGGATGCCACCATCAGGAAACTCTAGGAAGGAAAGAGGATGCCAAAGGAGGGGAGATTTCAAGAGAGAGGGGTGGGTAGAACAGGGAGAAGGGAGAAGGGTGGTCAGTGAAGACCAGAGCTGATGTGGGACAGGGCGGAACACCAACAGGGTGGGAGCCCCAGCCCTATGGCAACTGATTCAGGAGCTGCCTCGGCGGTGCTTCTCCCATCCTGGAGCCCCCCACCCTTGCCTTCAGCCCCATTTCCTCATGTTTTCTCTTGCCATAACAACTTCTTCCTTCAGAGAACTCTCAGAATAACATTTACGCTGGGGCTGACTCCTCTCTTGGGGACCTGCACTTTAACTGTGTCTGTGTCTCGTGAGGAAGCCCTCACGGCCTTTGTGTCCTTATAGGAGCTGCGGATCAAACGTGAGCAGTTGGGACATGCTGGCTGGCAGGTGATGACATCCTCCCTCACAACCACAGCCGGAGAGGCCGGGCATCCCACCCACAGCCTTCCTGGCAAAGCAGCCCTTACAGAAGTACAGATGCAATCTGCTGCAGCTCTACCTGTAATATTCCAAAAAAGAGTTTGATTTGCCTGTGGTCTTGAGGAATCTCAAAGTTTCCATACGAGTTCTGAACAGGCTTGATAAATACACATTCCGAAGATAGCCAGGCTGCCTGTTTCTACAGTTTTTGCAGTTCCCATTCATGATCTAAACTCACTGTGGTCAAACCAGAGCAAATCTGTGTTACCTGTTTATTGCTGCATGCATTCTTTCATCCACTTATTCTGGGTGAGCCTGGGAGTGTTTAGGAGACACTCAAGGGTCTCGGCTACAGGTCTCCCCTGGCCTCAGTGCTTTTCCCCAGACCACACACAGCAAGTCCCTTCAGCCCTGCAGTAGCTTCTTGAACGTAAGAAACATTTAGGACTGCGAAAGAACTGCTTAAAAATATAGAAGTCAGGAAGTTAAGCAAACCTTCCTTTATTCGCCAGAATCTCTGACATCATTTCTAATTCTGTTCTCATCGTTTCTAATTCTGTTCTCTTGCCCCCGCAATAATAAACAAAATAACTACCGGAGTCATCTGAGAATGACAAATTCTAATACATAACACGTGTGGGATGTGTTACCTGAGACAACACAGTGAGTGTCTGTGCAGGAACAGCCGGAATCATCCAGAAATTCTCTCATTAAGGAGTGTGTTAGGTCAATTTCCTTAAAAGGAAATGTACAACTTTAATGCAATAAAAATTAATACCTGTGAATCATTCCATAGTAAACTACTTTTGGTTCATCCATTAAGTGTGATGTTACAGCCAAGTTCTTTTCATTGATATAAAACAATTATGTTATTATACGGAAGCATTCATCCAGAAGGGACGGAATTCTCCTTAGACAGAAGCTTTCCAAGTATGGTTATGGGCAGAGGGAGGAAGGGAAATTTGGAACCCAAATTTGGAGGCTATTTTGGTTCAGTAATTCAATCTCAGTGCATTCTTTTTTTTTTTTTTTTTTTTTTTTTTTTTTTTTTTTTGAGACGGAGTCTCGCTCTGTCGCCCAGGCTGGAGTGCAGGGGCGCAATCTCGGCTCACTGCAAGCTCCGCCTCCCGGGTTCACGCCATTCTCCTGCCTCAGCCTCCCGCGTAGCTGGGACTACAGGTGCCCGCCACCACGCCCGGCTAATTTTTTGTATTTTTTAGTAGAGACGGGGTTTCACTGTGTTAGCCAGGATGGTCTCGATCTCCTGACCTCGTGATCCGCCCGCCTCGGCCTTCAGTGCATTCTTTTTAGAAACCGCAACACCAAGTGCCTATGAACAGCCGGGGTGCAAATGGGAACACCAGTCCCCATGCCCATTGCTTCTTTTCCAGGAAAATAACAAATAAAACATCTAGAAAACAATCTTTCTATTGGTGGATAAAACGGTTAGGTCACATCAGCAATAAAGCAGTACCCTGTGACTTCAAGGAGCATCTCCAGCCTGTATTATCTGCACTTGGAAAAATGCATTGCAAGAGTCGCTGAAGTGAGTTATAAGGTAACACTTGTCTGTAAGATTTCTAATGTTCTATAAATTCTGTCATCCAGAAAGCCCAGCTGTTCCTTCCCAAAGGCCAATTAGATGATGCAGCCTTGTGTGGGAAGCAGGTTGAGGGGAGAAAAGGATGAGGGTCCCCTTTTCTTTCCACAGTGACACCCTGTTCACCAATCTGTGATGTGACAGCAGCCTCAGGCTCCCCCAGAGAGCTACATGGCCACAATTTCAACTTCTGATACCTTAGAAAAGAAGGAGAGTGCTCAGTTCACACAAGGTTAGAACTGAGGGGCGATGTTTATATTCACGGGTGAGGAACGAGGGATGTTATAAATACATGCCTGTGTGTTCTGGGCTGTACCTGCCACCTAAAACGACAGCTACATTATAAAACACACACAAAAACAGAACTTTTAAATTATGAAATAGAACTGAAATAAACAATAGGTTTAAGATACTTTATTTTATATTTGTGACTGTTGTAGAAGGCTTTTTTGTTCTTACTGAAATGTTGGTAGAGCTGATGCTTTTGATGAGAGAAAAATGAGTGAATATGATGAATTATTTGATAGCTATTGGCTCAAAACTTGTGGTATGAGAGAATGAGTCAGTACTAATTCTATGTTCAGGTTTTTGCTATTGGCTTTGTGGCAGTTGTGTTAAAGCATATATACAGTTTTAAATTGTGTAGAGCCACATGGAAGCTGTGTGTGATGTACTTTCAAAACCAAGATATTTATTTTTCAATATCAACTACCAATTCTGGTTTTTGTTGAAATTTGATATTGTTCCTATCTTTCCTTGTATCAGTCCATTTTTATGCAAATAAACCACATTTCAAAATATGTTATATTTTTATGTCATATTTTAGTGAATGAATTCAAAATCTATCCAACAACTTTTTTTGAAAGATTCTAACTGGGTGAGAAAATTTGGTTTCAATGATTTATGAAGCAGATACAGAAGTTTTATTAAGGTCATACGTGATTGTTTCTAGCAATAAAGTTATTGGAACCTTAGAAATATTCATTTTTAATAAGCTCTCTCCAAAGTGTAAACTTACTTAGAATACATTCATTCTTTTCTCCATTTTTAGAATGTCACTTTTATTCTGAGGAGCAGATTGTTTATTTAAAAATACTTGACAGCTTATATACTAAATTTTTTCAACAACAAAAGTCTCGGTCATCTTTAGTTGCAATAATTTAATTATTTTGCCACAAGATGACTGTGAATCAATGTGAGATAGAGAAGATTCTCATGGTAGATGCTTTATTATTGTAAAAGACTACAGGATGCTGTCATTATTTAGAAGTCTTTTTAGAAATATAAAACATATTACTTCTATAATGCTATCACCTTCCATAAAATTTTTATCTGTTTCTTACATGTTTTTGCTACAATAGCTTGCCTATGAAAGACGCTGTATTTCAAATCCGTATGTGGTGTATATATATATATATATATATATATATGTATACATATATATGTATATGCATATGTATGTATATGTATATATATGTATATGAATATATATATATATTCCAATCAAAACAGCCCGTTAGACCAAGGTCATTCTTACACAGTTCCCATAATGCATCATCCTTACTAAAAAAGGTCATTTTCTATTGAGGATAGTTTTTTTTTTTCCCCAGCTAAGGTATTACCTCTTTGCTTCATAGGTTAATAAAAAATAGTCTGTACACAATAAAAAATGATACAGGGGGTATCACCACTGACCCCACAGAAATACAAACTACCATCAGAGAATACTATAAACAGCTCTATGCAAATAAACTAGAAAATCTAGAAGAAATGAATAAATTCTTGGACACATACACCCTCCCAAGAGTAAACCAGGAAGAAGTCAAATCCTTGAATAGACCAATAACAAGTTCTGAAATTGAGGCAGTAATTAATAGCCTACCAGCCAAAAAAAGCCTAGGGCCAGATGAATTCACAACCGAGCTCTATGAGAGGTACAAACAGGAGCTGGTACCGTCCTTCTGAAACTATTCCAAACAATTAAAAGGAGGAAGTCCTCCCTAACTCATTTTATGAAGCCAGCATCAACGTGATACCAAAACCGGCAAGAGACACAACAAAAAAAGAAAACTTCAGGCCAATATCTCTGATGAACATCGATGTGAAAATCCTCAAAAGAATACTGGCAAACTGAATCCAGCAGCACATCAAAAATCTTATCCACCACGATCAAGTTGGCTTCATCCCTGGATGCAAGGCTGTTCAACATATGTAAATCAATGAATGTAATCCATCACATAAATAGAAACAGAAACAAAAACCACATGATTATCTCAATAGATGCAGAAAATACCTTTAACAAGATTCAACATCCCTTCATGGCAAAAACTCTCAATAAACTAGGTATTAACTGATAGAATATATCTCAAAATAATGAGTTATTTATGAAAAACCCACAGCCAACATCTTATCGAATGGGCAAAAGCTGGAAGCATTCCCTTTGAAAACGAGTACAAGACAGTGATACCCTTTCTCACCACTCCTATTCAACATAGTATTGGAAGTTCTGGCCAGGGCAATCAGGCAAGGAAAGAAATAAAGTGTATTTGAATATGAAGAGAGGAAGTCAAATTGCCTCTGTTTGCTGATGACATGAGTCTATAATTAGAAAACCCCATCATCTTAGCCTTAAGCTGATAAGCAACGTCAACAGTCTCAGGATACAAAATCAAGGTGCAAAAAATCACAAGCATTCCCTTACACCAACAACAGACAAGCAGAGAGCCAAGTCATAAATGGACTCCCATTCACAATTTCTACAAAGAGAGTAAAATACCTAAGAATACAGCTAACAAGGGATGTGAAGGACCTCTTCAAGGAGAACTACAAACCACAGCTCAAAGAAATGAGAGAGAACACAAACAGATGGAAAAACATTCCATCCTCCTGGATGGGAAGAATCAATATCATGAAAATGGCCATACTGCCCAAAGTAATTTATAGATTCAATGCTATCCCCATCAAACTACCATTGACATTCTTCACAGAATTAGAAAAGACTACTTTAAATTTCATATGGAACCAAAGAGACCATATAGCCAAGACAATTCTAACCAAAAAGAACAAAGCTGAAGGAATTATGCTACCTAACTTCAAAATACACTACAAGGCTACAGTAACCAAAATAGCATGGTACTTGTACGAAAACAGACATATAGACCAATGGAACAGAACAGAGACCTCAGAAATAACACCACATGTCTACAACCATCTGATCTTTGACAAACCTGACAAAAACAGCAATGGGGAAATGATCTTCTATTCAATAAATGGTGCTGGGAAAACTGGCCAGCCATATGCAGAAAACTGAGACTGGACCCCTTTCTTACACCATATACAAAAATTAAGATGAATTAAAAACTTAAATGTAAAACTCAAAACCATAAAAACCCTAGAAAAACACCTATGCAATACCATTCAGGACACAGGCATGGGCAAAGACTTCATGACAAAAATGCCAAAAGCCATTGCAACAAAAGCCAAGATTGACAAATGGGATCCAATTAAGCTAAAGAGCTTCTGCATAGCAAAAGAAACTATCATCAGAGTGAACAGACAACCTACAGAATGGGAGACAAGTTTTGCAATCTACACATTTGACAAAGGTCTAATATCCAGAATCTGCAAGGAACTTAAACAAATGTACAACAACAAAAAAACACAACCCCATCAAAAAGTGGGCAAATGATATGAACAGACACTTCTCAAAAGAAGACATTTATGTGGCCAAAAACATCTGAGAAAAATGCTCAACATCACTGATCATAAGAGAAATGCAAATCAAAACCACAAAGAGATACGATCTCATGCCAGTCAGAATGGAGATTATTAAAAAGTCAAGAAACAATAGATGCTGGTGAGGCTGTGGAGAGATGGGAACACTTTTACACTGTTGGTGGGAATGTAAATTAGTTCAACCACTGTAGAAGACAGTATGGTGATTCCTCAAGGATCTAGAACTAGAAATATCATTTAACCCAGCGATCCCATTACTGAGTATATACCCAAAGGATAATAAATCATTCCACTATAAAGACACATGCACACATATGTTTATTGCAGCACTATTCACAATAGCAAAGACATGGAACCAACCCAAATGCCCATTAGTGATAAACTGTATAAAGAAAATGTGGTACATATACACCATGGAATACTATGCAGCCATAAAAAGAAAGGAGATCATGTTCTTTGCAGGGACATGGATGAAGCTGGAAACCATCATCCTCAGCAAACTAACACAGGAAAAGAAAACCAAACACTCATGTTCTCACTCATAAGTGGGAGTTGAACAATGAGAACACATGGACACAGGGAGGGTCCTGTTGGAGGGTAGGAGGTGAGGAGAGGGAACTTAGAGGATGAGTCAATAGGTGCAGCAGACCACCATGGCACATGTATACCTATGTAACAAACCTGCACATTCTGCACATGTATCCTGGAACTTAAAGTTAAAAAAAAAAAAAAAAAAAAAAAAGGGTCTGTAAATGTGTTTATCAAATGTGAATAAACTTATTTCCTGTTTAACAAGCTAAAATAAATACAGATAAAGGTGCAATGTATCAATCCAACATTCCGAAGATCATCTTGCATGCCACATGGAGTGCGCACACCCCCACTGCGGTCATCGTGACATGATTCACGAACCTACTCCTTCATATCTGAGAATACCTGCCTGCCTGTTTCCCTAACTCTCCTCTGTCTTTGCTCCTCTATCCCACAGGAATGTCAAGAAGTGACACAGAAATCCAGGGTTAGTGCAGAGCCTGCGGTGGATGAGAATAGTCCAAGAAGCTGCGGGTCCCTCTCCACTACCTGCAGGAGGGAAGAGCCATGCAGGGTGGTGGCTGGGGACACACCAGGTCTGGTTCCAAATCCCCAAGAGGTTCCCCATGAAGTTGGTGAATGAGGGAGGTCAGAGGAGCAAAGGGCACATTGGTGTAGGGAGAGTAAGCGTCAGTCTCTCCGCTACTCGCCCTTTGATTTTCCCAAAGAATCGCTGCCTCTGTCTATTAGAATGACGTCATCTCACTGGGAGGACATTAATGAATAGTGGTCAACATGACTATGGCCTCTACCCTGCTAGATTTTTACTATTAAATATCTGCTGAACCAATGCCAAAAAGAAATACATGTTTAATTATTTTTTTAAATTCTACCTTTCACAGTCTGGGGTAATTTTTCCAATACTTCATGATAACTTTCCATTCCAAATCAAAGGATATGAAAATCTACCTTTTATGAACACCCCAACTATTCTACCTGCAAAACAACTTCAGCAATTACACTAATAATACAGGAATTTACATATATTTTTAATGCTTATGAAACTGTCTTATTTTTAAATTCAAAATAAATTATTAAAACTAATATAGAAGAAAATTAATGTATATGTTTTATGCAGCAGCAGGGCATAGAAAGGGAAGTAATTCAACATCATATTTTTCAGTGTCATAATCCCTACAATTAAATGCAAAGTATCTTTATTGAACTACATTAAATAGCTTTCATTTTAGACAAAAATATGGAACATGGTAAGCCACACTCAACATACCGTGAACAATTTCATGAGTTGTTAATATGAAAAAGGATAATGATATTCATAGTGATTGCAATTGTGTTAGTTCTTAAGAACCAAAACATCTTTGATTTCACTCTTCCTAAGTGGCTTGGTGGTAATGGACCATACACACATAAAATGAAATCAATGAAAGCCATAGTTTCAATTTTAAAAAGTATTTTAAGACTAAAATGAAATTTGTATGTTAAAAATTTGTGTATTTTTGTCATTTATATATGAAACTAATTTTGGACTATTTTCTGCTTATAGTTTTTATTTAAAAAATTAAATAAAATTAATTAAAATGAGTAAGTTAATTGGAAACGTTAAATAAAATGACTACATAAGAAAGTGGTTTAATTGGTGAAATCTGCTTTAGTCACATGTATTCAATGAACTTTCAAAATAACATTCGCACACACTGATGAAACGTTGGGAGAGCAAACGTGAGATCTTTGGCTTCTGTCAGATGCTCCTTGTCTCTGAGAAGTTGGCACACATGGGTGCACACAGCCTGTCCTCTCAGTATGTGACATGGCTGGTGCGTCCTGCAGAACCCTGAGCAGGGCCGTGGGTGGGAGCGCGCTGCTCCTGCAAGGCGCAGTGGACTCCGGATCAGGGAAGCCTGGCAGGGCTTCTTGCCCTTGACCCCACTTTTGGGGTCCAGCTGTGCAGGGTGTACAATCTTTCTGATTAAATGATCAAGCCTGCCTTACCAGCACCCACACTATGGCAGAAATGGAAAGGGAGACAGACAGAGAGTGAGGACTCAGCTTGAGCCATTGGCAGGAGGAGAGGGCCACTCAGGAAACACCAGGTGCTTTTCCTCCCACTCCCTCGGCGCTCCCAGCCCTGTTCACACCTCCCTACACAACAACAGCCTTCACCGCCTGGCCTTGGAGACGCCCGGGTTCCTGGGGTGGAAACTTTCTCCGTAGCAGTGGCTTGCCGTCCTGCTACAGTGGCCTTCTCAAATGAAGTCTCCCCTTACCTAAGTCAGGATTTGTTTTTTATTTGACAGCCACAGATCAACATTTCATCATGCCATAATTTATATTTAATGTATTTTTCCCAGTATTTTAGTATTCAAATAATAACATGATTTAAAGATCTTGGTGTATTAATATTTATACTTGTATGGATTTTATGGTAATTTTTAGAAGTAGAATTAGTGAATTTAAAGGTATGAACATTTCAAAGACCTTTGGGACATTTATTTTTTAAAAACAAGTTGCTAAGTTTAAGTCTTCATCAGATGTCTATGATATGCACATGGAAATATTTGAATATTTATATATTTTATGAAGTATTTCTATTATAAAATTTGTTTTGCATTAAACACTGGTGAAAATAATGTTTTCCCTATCCAAGCCTTAAATTCCTTTGCAAATCGGTCCATGAGGCAGGAAACACCCCTGGGCAGTGCCTGTCCTTGAGCGCTTTTCATCCATAGTCCCCAGGGAAGGGCTGCTCCGAAGGAAGCTGCTGGGAAAATGGGCGGCGTCCCCCAGTCCCCCAGGAACTACGATGTGTGCTGTGGGGGTTACTGGTGTCCCCCAGGAACTACCATGAGTGCTGTGGGGGTTACTGCAGAGCCTCTTTTTCAGATTAAGAAACTTCTACAACCTTTCTGGAGTTTTCTACAACCTCACTGGAGTTTTATGAATAATCAAAGGCTATTTTGGACCTATGGAGAAGGTTATATGACTATGTTATTAATACTATGTGGATTTGCCCTGATCGGCTTTTCAAAGGTCAAAGGCCCTTTGAAACCTTGGAATTTTGTATTTATGGAATAAACATGCCATCTTGATGTATTACCTGTCCCAGTGGATTTGATTAGCTAGTGTGTAGGAAGTTTTCAGATGTGTTCATAGAAGTGATTGATCTGTATTTTCATGCTGTGTACCCATGTCAGGTTCTAGTATAAATCAAGCTATTTGTATTTTTTCAGTATTATTTTGTCAGCTTTGGGAATTTGGGTTTTTCATGGAACGTGTACGTTTTTCTCCAAATTCCTCTCCATGCTTCAACATGGATATCTTCTATTGATCTGTCTTCCGGCTTATTAGTCCTGTCCCTTTCTGTGTTCAACAAGTTATTAAGGCCAACCATTGGGTTCTTCATCTTAGATCTAATCTGCACTTCTAGAATGTCCATTCTATACTATTTTATGGAGTCCAAATCTCTTCTGAAATTCTGTATTTTGTCATCGTTTTTGTTCAGTACACAATTGTTCACTTAACAGCAAAGAAATGGTGAAAGTGCCTGTGAACCAGCACACAATAGCCACTAAGTGTAAGAAAAGTATTCTTTCTTCAACTAGTGTCAGGAAGAGTGATAAAATAACTATTTCTTATCAAGAGGAGTTCAGATGAAGGGATCTTAATTGCAGCAGGAGTTAAGGTGCCATCCACACTCTGTCATGACCAGCCATTCAGCTCCAGCCACCACACACAAAGGTTCCTGCCAGGAGTGTCCTTGCTCCAAAACCACAATGCACACAGGATTTTCCCTTCATAGGTATAACATTCCTCTCATGAAAAAGGCTTATTTACAAGAGGATTGAGAGTAACATTTCTTCCAGATGAGATTTCAGAAACAATCGTAATTTTCTCAGAGATTCTCTATTGATGAGTTAGGAGTCAATGAGAAAAGTTGTATTGCTTTTGGCAGAAATAACACAAATACAGATTTTGATGGATGCATGCGTAAAGGTGCAGACGACGTTTATTCAAGGCTGAAGTGAAGCACAGCGCTGTGGGAAGTGGGGCTCCCCGGCCCGAAGACCACGACACTGTGAAAACGATAGCTGATCCCTTTGCTACAGACACGGAAGCAATTGTCTTCTTATTGCAGCATTGACACGATCTGAACTGAGTGATTAATGGATTTTTATAGAATTTTTGGCATTCAGTGTTCTTCAATTCTTCTGCATTGAAAAACCCAATGAGTCTCCTTAAAGAGCACAGCTGACAGCATCTTCAGTTTATCTGCAGCACTAAAATCATGTTAATTCCGAACAATAGCCCCAAGATATTCTTGTTGACTTTTAAAATAGTCCTTTGAGCGAAGCCTACTTACTTCTTCTTCATATTTTTCATCAGTGCTTGAGCAATCAGATTATGCAAGTTGAAAGAAGGAAGCCAGCAGTGTTGCTGAAGTTCTCTGCTGCTGGAAGGAACTTGCTGAAAGTGTTGAGGAGATAATCAATGGGAAATGCATTCCTTTAGGCATCAAGGCTGTTCTTAAATGCGATGACATTATTTACCAACAGGAAATGAAATTCTGACTTGAGGTGGGTGACTATTAAGGATTGGCCAGGACTGTCTTTTGGGATGGATTTTTGGGATGAATTTCACACTTAAATAATCCAGTTCCTTCACACAGATGTTACCAGCCATGCTACCAGTGTGGCCTTGAGTAAAACCAACAGGTGTAATGCTGAAGAAGGAAATAAAAATTGATAACATTTATCTTTTTTGTCAGTGGATTCTTTTTATGTTTTTGATCAAAAGACGTATATAATCCTGAAAAAAGAACGAGGGAAATATGATGCCGTGAAAGGTGGTACTGTGTGCTTCAGCACATCCGTTTTGAAGAGTGGTTCTCAGCCTGGTGGGCTTCATTCCAGTTCATCTTCTGCACACTGGCTCACATGCTAATGCTGACCATGCTTTCTCAGTAATGAGTGTTCCATGAGCCAAGGAGCAAAACATATTGTAGTGACCACTATAGCAGGTATGTTCCAAGATAAGGCAACACAGACTATCACTGCAAAGAATTATATAAGCAAATTCTTCAACACAAGAAACTTAAAGCAAACCAAATTATTGAGAAATGTCATTACAAACAGATGTGTGAAACTTCTATGCTCTAAATTATTAGATGAATGATCTGCAGTCTCATCTGTTGTCTCAATGCATACATGCATAGACGGAAATAAATCTCACTGGCTGTCCAGTGTTTTTATTTCCTGAATCTGACAATCCCATCTGCATGGCAGCTTCTGCTATCTATGCGTTTTCTTACAATTCATCAAATAATAAGTCTTGCATCCTGTGTACTGGTGTGACTAGTAATTTTGGATACATTGATAACATTACATATGAAAAAAGCATAGAGGTACCAGAAGACTGGTTCACCCAGCAGAGGCCTGCCCTTTGCTCTGCTCTGAAGACACAGTGGGACACCGATGGCCCTCACGTCAACAGAGCAGTGCTGGGTCGAGACGGGGCTGCAGTTTAGGTCAAGCTCCATCCATCTCTTTTTCTCTTCATGACTAGGGTTTTCACTAAGAATCTTGTTTCCTGCTTTTCTGAGGTTGGACTTAGTTCTGTAGCCTCTCCTCTCCCTGTGATAGTCTCAGGGTTTGACAAATGCCCTGAGAGTCTATCCTGGTGCACCCTGGAGCAAGCCTGGTGGTTCAGACCACAGGTCTGTGCAACGTTTTGTGTTTTCCCATCCTCCAGCAGTGGCTCTATGCCAGGGTTGCTGCGTGGAGAGCGGGTGGAATATCTGAAACCAGAAGGAAAGGACACCTCAGTCTACTGCACACAGAGGCTCTAGGGCTCAGCCTACTGCACACTGAGGCTCTAGGGCTCAGCCTACTGCACACAGAAGCTCTGGGGCTCAGCCTACTGCACACCGAGGCTCTAGGGCTCAGCCTACTGCACACAGAAGCTCAGGGGCTCAGCCTACTGCACACCGAGGCTCTAGGGCTCAGCCTACTGCACACCGAGGCTCTAGGGCTCAGCCTACTGCACACCAAGGCTCTGGGGCTCAGCCTACTGCACACCGAGGCTCTGGGGCTCAGCCTACTGCACACCGAGGCTCTGGGGCTCAGCCTACTGCACACCGAGGCTCTGGGGCTCAGCCTACTGCACACCGAGGCTCTGGGGCTCAGCCTACTGCACACCGAGGCTCTGGGGCTCAGCCTACTGCACACCGAGGCTCTGGGGCTCAGCCTACTGCACACCGAGGCTCTGGGGCTCAGCCTACTGCACACCGAGGCTCTGGGGCTCAGCCTACTGCACACCGAGGCTCTGGGGCTCAGTCTACTGCACATCGAGGCTCTGGGGCTCAGTCTACTGCACATCGAGGCTCTGGGGCTCAGTCTACTGCATACAGCAGCTCTGGGGCTCAGTCTACTGCACACAGCAGCTCTGGGGCTCAGTCTACTGCACACCGAGGCTCTGGGGCTCAGCCTACTGCACACCGAGGCTCTGGGGCTCAGCCTACTGCACACCGAGGCTCTGGGGCTCAGCCTACTGCACACCGAGGCTCTGGGGCTCAGCCTACTGCACACCGAGGCTCTAGGGCTCAGCCTACTGCACACCGAGGCTCTAGGGCTCAGCCTACTGCACACCGAGGCTCTAGGGCTCAGTCTACTGCACACTGAGGCTCTGGGGCTCAGCCTACTGCACACTGAGGCTCTGGGGCTCAGCCTACTGCACATCGAGGCTCTGGGGCTCAGTCTACTGCACACAGCAGCCCTGGGGCTCAGCCTACTGCACACTGAGGCTCTAGGGCTCAGCCTACTGCATGCACATCGAGGCTCTAGGGCTCAGCCTACTGCACATCGAGGCTCTAGGGCTCAGTCTACTGCACACTGAGGCTCTAGGGCTCAGCCTACTGCACACAGAGGCTCTGGGGCTCAGCCTACTGCACGCCGAGGCTCTGGGGCACAGCCTACTGCACACTGAGGCTCCAGGGCATGGCCTATTGCACACTGAGGCTCTGGGGCCCAGGCTGTTGCTCTGGAGCTACACACCTGTGCAGCCTGGGATTGCACTGAACGCTGCACGTGACTGTAACACAATGGTGAGCATTTGTCTATCTACATGCCTTCTTCCGGAACACCTCCTGAAGAACCTGCCAGAGGCTGTTTTACAGTTAACCTTTTAAAACATAAGTGGAAGGAGTACACTCTAAAATAAGGATAAAAAGTATCGTAAATACATAAACCAGCAACATAGTCATTTATTATCATTATCTAGCATTGTGTACGGTGCATGGTTGTATGTGCTGGACGTTACAGTTACCGCATCGCAGCCTTGTTTACACAGCATCACCACAAACAGTGAGCAATGCGTGGCACTCTGGCGTTAGGACTGCTGTGTCACCAGGCACTGGGGAATTTCAGCTCCATGATTATCTCACGGGACCACCACTGCATACGGGGTCTGTCATTGACCAAAACGTCCCTTTTCAGTGAGTGAGTGTATTTGTTTTAAAACTCTCAAAAATAGCATGTTTTTAGAAAAACCAGCTAAGTGTAAAATAATTGAAGTTTTTTTATTGGAACAAAGTAATCACATTTGAATTACATTAATTTGTTGCATGTCATATTTTATTTAATTACATCTAAAAGCTTTAGTATTAATAAAAAGTGTTATTTTGCTTAAGGTTATATTAAAGTAGTGCTCTTTTTTACACAGTTATTATATTTCTGTCTTATGGCACCATTTGGTAATAGTCTACCTCATCTGTTTTTTATTAAACAGACATTAGAAGTATAATTGCTTAAAAGTAGACATTACTGGAAATAATTAGCTAAGAATCGGGCCCTCAGCCTGACCAAAATCTGACTCCACTGAAGCTCTGAGCGGTTTTGTGAGCTCATGTTGGCCTCTGTGAATCTCAGCGGTTTTGTGAGCCCACATTTGCCTCTGTGAATCTCTGAGAGGTTTTGTGGCCCATGTTGGCCTCTGTGAAGCTCTGAGCAGTTTTGTGAGCCCACATTCACGTCTGTGAATCTCTGAGAGGTTGTGTGAGCCCATGATGGCCTCTGTGAAGCTCTGAGCAGTTTTGTGAGCCCACATTCACCTCTGTGAATCTCTGAGAGGTTGTGTGAGCCCATGATGGCCTCTGTGAAGCTCTGAGCAGTTTTGTGAGCCCAGGCTGGCCTCTGTGCACTGTGCTTCTGCTTCCATCTCACCCCAACGGCTTTTGCCCGACGGTGTTGAAGGACACAGCAGCGTGTCCCAAGGCCACAGCCTCAGTGGTAGGTGGCCGTTGTTTGTTAGTTCAAGTACCAATTTTCATGAAAAGCAAGTCTTATCTCCTTCCGTGAGTTTTCTAGAAAATCACATACTGAATCATTATTTAGCTCTAAACAATTCTGAGACAATAATAAATAAAACAGTGGTCATTTAGGGTCTATTCTGTGTTTCCAGCACCGGGAAGTTCACATGGATTAAGTAATTCTCCACATTCTGAGGTAAGCCCCCTCCCCACACGTTAGATAACACAGCGTCCAAGGCTTAGCCAAGACCACAGCTCAGAATTAGGGTCTAATATAAATCACCAGAGTCCAGGACCTGGTGCTCTTCCTACCATGCTGCACCAACAGCCAGAGCTCACCCTGTCCACAATGACAGCCTGGTGTTTGATGAGTATCCGCAGGTGCACGGAAACACGGGCCACGGGACATTTCCCACGAGTGTTCACAAGGGGAATAAAAACACAGGCTGTGGGGCATTTCCCACGAGTGTTCACAAGGGGAATAAAAACACAGGCTGTGGGGCATTTCCCACGAGTGTTCACAAGGGGAATAAAAACACAGGTTGTGGGGCATTTCCCACGAGTGTCCGCAGGTGCACAGAAACACAGGTCATGGGACATTTCCCTTGAGTGTTCACAGGTGCACAGAAACACGGGCCGTTGGGTGTTTCCCACGAGTGTTCACAGATGCACAGAAACACGGGCTGTGGGACATTTCCCACGAGTGTTCACAAGGGGAATAAAAACACAGGCTGTGGGACATTTCCCACGAGTGTCTGCAGGTGCACAGAAACACAGGTCATGGGTCATTTCCCACGAGTGTTCACAGGTGCACAGAAACACGGGCCGTGGGACATTTCCCACGAGTGTTCACAAGTGGAATAAAAACACAGGCTGTGGGACATTTCCCACGAGTGTCTGCAGGTGCACAGAAACACAGGTCATGGGTCATTTCCCACGAGTGTTCACAGGTGCACAGAAACACGGGCTGTGGGACATTTCCCACGAGTGTTCACAAGGGGAATAAAAACACAGGCTGTGGGACATTTCCCACGAGTGTCTGCAGGTGCACAGAAACACAGGTCATGGGTCATTTCCCACGAGTGTTCACAGGTGCACAGAAACACGGGCCGTGGGACATTTCCCACGAGTGTTCACAAGTGGAATAAAAACACAGGCTGTGGGACATTTCCCACGAGTGTCTGCAGGTGCACAGAAACACAGGTCATGGGACATTTCCCACGAGTGTTCACAGGTGCACAGAAACACGGGCCATGGGACATTTCCCACGAGTGTTCACAAGGGGAATAAAAACACAGGCTGTGGGACATTTCCCACGAGTGTCCGCAGGTGCACAGAAACACAGGTCATGGGACATTTCCCTTGAGTGTTCACAGGTGCACAGAGACACGGGCCGTTGGGTGTTTCCCACGAGTGTTCACAGGTGCACAGAAACACGGGCCATGAGACATTTCCCACGAGTGTTCACAAGGGGAATAAAAACACAGGCTATGGGGCATTTCCCACGAGTGTTCACAAGGGGAATAAAAACACAGGCTATGGGGCATTTCCCACGAGTGTCCGCAGGTGCACAGAAACATGGGCAGTGGGATGTTTCCATGGGTCACCTAATTCCAGCCAAGGTGGACAAACCTTCCTGAACAGAATGGGCGTTGTCAGTGTGGAGAAGTATCCACAGGCTATGGCCGCAGAAGCTGCTGGATGGCTGAGAGGCGTCTCCAGGAAATAAATGGGGTGCCTGTTAGATAGCACAGGATCTCTGAGAGCCCTCTGACTTTACTGAACACACTATGAGCAGCTAGGACATTTTAGTGCAGCTCGCTTGGGCTTGTGAGGGCTGCTTTCTGTCCAGATTCTGACTGCTGTGAAGAGTCATTGGCTGACTCAACAAATATTCCTTGTAATAGTTGGCTCAGGCTTCCATAACAGAAACCCACAGACAAGGTGACTTATATGACATGGATTTATCCTCTCCCAGTTCTGGAGGCCAGAAGCCGAAGATCAAGGTTTGGGCAGGGCTGGTTCCTCCTGAGGCCTCTCTCCTTGGCTTGCAGCTGCTGTCTTCTCTCTGTGTCCTCAGGTGATCATCCCTCTAGGTGCAACTGTGCCCTCATCTCCTCTTCTTATAAGGACACCAGTCATATTGGATCAGGGTCTAGTCTGTGACCTCATTTCAACTCGATTACCTCCTTAAATTCCCTGTCTCCAAGACAGTCACTTCTGAAATGCTGAAGGCTATGACTTTAACCTACGAATGGGGGAAGAAGGTGAATTTGGCCCCTAACATAGATGATAACACAGGTTCATGGTTGAGAGAGATGGAGGAGAGAAATGGACACAGCCCTGGGAGCTCATGTCCACACAGGGAACCTCAGTAAGGGGTGGGGGCCAGTGTGAGGGGTGAAGGGTCAGATGTGAAGCCCCCTGCCTGCCAGGCAGCAAGTGCCCCTGAGTTGTGCTGCCTGGAGGAGGATGCACACTGGGCCACTGTGGCTAGGCGGATCTACCATATTTGAGAACATTGGTCCAAGAGGCCCAATTGTGACCTCTTGTCTGGAGGTGCAGGTGCACCTCCAGTAGCAGGGTGTGTCTCAAACGGGTCTGGCCTCATGCTGGGCAGCGTCCAGCCTCTCCAGCCTCATTCCACCCAGACTCTGCCCTCATGCACAGTTTCTGAACGTAGGCACCGTCATTCACCACTTCCTACCAATGAGGACTCTACGTTCTTCCCCATTGACAACAGAAGGGACATCTTTAATGTGCTCCTGTATCTCTCCTTTGCCTGGAAGAGCCTCCTAAATGTCTGTCTGACATCCCCAAAGGTCTGTCAATGCACAGCTCAGATGCCTCTCTCCTGATCACTTTTCCAACGTGACTTCTCTGGGAAAGACACATCAATTACTTTTTGGCTCCTAAGCATCATGGTTTATTACACAGTTGAGTCATATATTAAAATACTAATAATATGTATGTGCATGTGTGTGTGTGTGAGTGTGTGTGTGTAGGGGCAAGGGGGTTTGGTTGGGAGGAGTGTACATGTGCATGTGTGCGTGTGAGTGCATGTGTACACCTGTGTGTGCATGTGTGCCTGTGTGTGCATGTGTGTACATGTGTGTGCGTGTGTGTGTGTAGGAGCAGCCTGCCCAGTTCATGGGTCGATGGCACCGTGGATGTGGCAGGCTTGGTGTCAGGCCCGTGTGCGACGCACCCTGCTGCTGGAGGTGCACCTGCACCTCCAGATAAGAGGTCAAAAACATCCAGCCCAGCTGCCAGCCTGGGGCCCTGGGCAGAGGCCGGTGGCTAATGTGTTAGACATTCAGCTAACACATTTTGGTAAGGGGTGAAAACAATCTATTGTACCAGTGACTAATCTATTCCTTGCTCATTGTTAATTCAGCTCAACTAAGAAAGTTCATGGTGGCGGGAGGCCCAGGTGAGGGTGGCCATGGGGACCACAGTGGCTTCTGCCTGGAAGGTGTTGATGATAAAAGCCGAACAATAAAATTGTCACAGAGGTTCTTAGCCAAATATGAGTGGCCATGACCCGTAATGCAGCACTGAGGTGTCCTCAGATCCTGTGCTCAAGGTGTTCGGGCTACAGCTTGGTCGTATACATTTTAGGGAGGCAGAAGTTACAGGTTTACACTGGTTCAGCCCAGAAAGGTGGACATCTCAAAGCAAGGGCTCACAGATCACAGGTGGATTCAAAGATTTTTGGAGTGACGATTGGTTGACAGACTTCAGCTTTGCCTAAAGAGTGAAGTCAGCAGAAAGAAATGCTCCAGCAGAAAGATAAGGGCCTTGTGGAAACCAAGATTCACAGTATGGAGATGAAGCCTTCAGGCAGCAGCTTCAGAGAGAATCGATGGCAAATGCTTCCTATAGGACCTTAAAAGATGTCAGGCCTTAGTTAAATCTCTCCTGGATCAGAAAAGGGCCTAGTAAGGGATTCTCCACAGAATGCAGATATTCCCAGCAAAAGACGCCTTTGCAGGGCCATTTCAGAATATGTAAGGGAGATATAGTTGGGGTTAATATATTTTGATTTCCTTCAGGACCTGCTATTTTTCATGTGATGCTATGCCAGGGCCAGGTTGGAGTGGGGAATCTGATTACTATAAGGAGTCTGTTTGGATAGTGTTTTGATGTCTGCTTTAGCGCTAATGCTGGTCAGCTGGTCCTGAACTCCACAGGGAGGAGGGTATAATGTGGTCTGTCCAACCCCACTTCCTGCCATCATGGGCTGAACCGGTTTTTTGAATTTTTAGGGGGGGATCCCCGTGGCAAAGAGGGGGCCCATTCAGTCGGTTGAAGGACTTAGAATTTTATCTATTTTACAAAGGACACCAGAGGCTCTTCTCAAACAGAACTGGCACTGCCTGACAGGCTACCTCTCACGAAGCCAGCATCACAACTGAGCACACGATTTTATTCAGTCCTCTCAGGAAAGAGCAGTTTTGTTTCACAGATGAGAAAACCAAGCCAGGGAGAGCTTCACTTACCTCTCCAAGGTAAATACCTGGTAGCTGCTGAACCGAGAGTTTGGGCAGAGGCTTTTCAAAAAGTCTTGAAGCTCTCCAACACCGTGAGACATGGATGCCCGTGAGGCACCTTCCTACGTACCGAAAGGGAATGTGCAGTGGAGGGGGAATCCCAACATCGTCTTTGGAAAGAGCAAGGGACAGACCAGTCCTGTAGGACCTCCCTCCCACCACCTTCACCCTTCTCTTCTCTCTCTCCTGTCAGCATCTGAGTTCCTTCCTTGGTCTGCCTGCTTCCCCATGGTGGGGGTGGCCCACCCGCCTCAGCCTCTGGCCGTCACTCCCCGGAGCTGGAGCCATGCCCGGCCAGCCGGTCGTCCACCCCTGATTCCTGCTCTTCTAATCCATCCCACACAAACTGCTGCTGGATGGATCTCCCAGAACAAACCCTGTGCTCACACCACGGCCAGACCTAAGGGCTCCTGCAGGCCACAGAAGCGTTTCCCTGGGGAAGGTGGTTGCCACGAGCTTCACAGACAGGCACAATCACATTCATCTCGGAGATACTCGTGTAAGACTCGGTGTTGCTGAAAACACATGTGTGTCTTTGTTAAACTCTGGGATTACAGGGATTCTTTAAGTTCCTAACACATATGATGAATATCCAGGAGAGAATCAAAGACTCACTTGCTCTTTCCAAAGGACCTGATCAGAGTCCTTATCTCCTGGTAAAAGAAACACCATTTGGCAAATGCTGGAACGCTGGTTTACAGGACACCGTGGCTTGAAGGTGCCCCCAATGTTTGTGTGTTGGAAACTTCATCCCCAGAGACACGGCCTTGGGAGGTGGGAACTTAGAGGGGCGAGTGGGCGGTAAGAGCTCTGCCCTCAGGAAGATTCATCCTTCATCGCAGGAGTGGGTTTCTGATTAAAAAAAAAAGGGATAGGGTTCTCTCTCTCTCTCTCACCTCTCTCTCTCTCTCCCTCTCTCCCTCTCCCTCACTATGCCCATTAGGACACACATAGGCTGGAAGAGAAAGGATGAAAAAATACATTCCCTAGAAACAGAAAGCAAATGGGAGCAACGGTGGCCACACTCCTGTCAGATTAAATGGACGTTAAGTCAAACCTGTAAAAAGAGATCAAGAGAGTCATGATGTGAGGTTGAATGGGTGGCTTCATCAAGAGCATGTAACAATTGTAAATACATCTTTACCAGCGTCAGAGCATCTAAGTATATAAGCAAATGTTACTAAATCTGAAGGGAGAAGCAGGCAGCAAGTCAATTAAGTAACAATATTGAGAGGCCTCAGGGGCCCACCGCCAGCAGGGGGCAGACCATCCAGGTGGAAAATCAGTGAAGAAGGATTGGCCTTAAACTACGTGTCAGGCACCTGGGCTCACTGGCCCATTGAGACCATCCCATCCAGCAGCAGCCAGAAACATGCTCTTCTCTAGTGTCCCAGAGCATTCTCCAGGATAGACTGTACACTGAGGCACAAAACAAGTCCTGCCTGATTTAAAGAGACCAGAATTACATCAAATACCATTCCCAGCCACAGTGGTACGAAGCTAGAATCAATAACGGAAGGGATTTCAGAAGATCCGCAAAGGCGGGGAAATTAAACACCTTACTTCTGAATCACCAGTGGGTCCATGAAAACATTATAGAGGACATTTAAATACATCTTGAGACAAATGAAAATGGAAACACAACATATTAAAATCTATGGGACACAGCAAAGCAGTTCTAAGAAGGAAGTTTTTGGCAATAAACACCTACATCAAAAAAGAAGAAAGACGCCAAATAAACAGCCTCACGTTACACCTCACGAAACCCGGGGAAGCCAGAACACACTAAGCCCCCACTTAGCAGAAGGAAGGAATGGTAAAGGCCGGACAAGGAACAAAGGAACCGTCTTCATACCTCACCACGCCGCATTCCTTGTCTATGAATATTGATTATTTATTTTGTAATTGATCCCTGGCAGTGTTCTATCATCATTCCTCCTTCTTTGTGCCTGGAGACCCGATGCTGAGTCACCAACCTGCCTTCTTGTCTGCCTGGTATCGTGTGGCTCCGCCTTTTGCGTTCACTTCCTGGGTCTCATTTCCTGAGGATTTCCTGTGTGGAACACACACTTGGGTTTTGTTTTGCAATCTCACAAAATATACTTTCTTCATTAGATCAATGAATGGAAGCATGGTTAACTATTTCGTGTGATACAGTGTCTTCCTTTGGTCCTTTGGTCACAGAAGGAGGAAAACGGTCCTCCCTGACTGTCCGGCCCCTCTCAAAACTTCACGTGGGACACTAGGTCAGGGTGGGGGCTGAGGGGTTTCCACACCAACCACTCTCCATCTCCCTAAATACCAGCTGGGTGTCCTACAACTTAACTCAAGTCTGATGCTTTCTACCTGGGGTTAGCCCAGGCCCCTGGGCTAAAGACTCAGCCCCACAAGGTTGCCCCTCTTCAGATGCCACTCCCAGGATCAGTGTCCCTGGTTATCCCCACGTCTGTACAACTTGGCTCCAAACTGGGTCATCAGCTGTGTCACACAAGCACTACACTAACGTCAGGTGTTAACAGGAGAATGTGGGTGTGGGACACGGAAACACGCTTTCCAATCTGTGCAACTTTTCAGTAAATCTAAAACTATTCTAAACTTGTTTTAAAAAGTGTACTCTTGAAGGTGCTATAGGATAGATAAAACACTTCAGAAATATCAATGAATATACAGTCTATTACAAATTGATGTAAAATTTTTAATTCTTTTTTTGTAAGCTTGCTACAAAATTGTAAATGAGCTAGTGGTAAGCTTTGGGTTTATCATTATAACATACTGACAGAATCTCATTTTATTGCTACTTTTTGCTTCCTGTCTCCAGAGGCTGACAAAAGAAAAAAGACGAATTAAAACTCTTGAAGGTACGTAATTTTCCATACATCACCAAGCAATAAAAACATCAGCAAAAAATTAAAGATTGCAATTTAGTCTAGCTTTATAACTAATACATGAGAAGTGCATTTAAGCAATTTAAATTAATAGCATGTCACAGCAATAAAGCTGTTGCTTTTTTTCTAAGTCAAATATATACATTTTATAATAGTGCTTAGCTTTTTAGCATTCTAATATACAACTTTTAAAATCACTGTGGAATTGCATCCAGATAAGGCTGCATTTCTCCTCCCCCAGGAACTTCCTGCTCTCCTCCCTGCCCAGCCCTGTGCCCCTCACCCTGGGGCCCCAGGCTCTTCTCTTCTCTCTGGCACTGATTTTCTGTGACCTTTGCTCTTCTATCCTATCCTTGGGCTACAATTTACTAGATTTATTGAATTAAAATTTTTCTCTCCTGCAAAAGCTAACAGGTCAAGGAAAAGAAGGAATGCTCAGGCAAGTCTAAGTTCAGTGTGCTTGTGTTTCTCTCTGCAGAGGCTCACACGTAGCACACACTGCACACGGCACGGCCGTGTGGACTCAGCCCTCACCACCACCTCGTCCTTGGGCCTCAGAGGAGCAGCAGGACCTCCCCCCAGCCTGAGGAGAGTTAAGGACTCTTGTCCAAGAACATTTCAAAAAACTGAGTTTTAAAGATCGAATTGGCTGCTATTCATGATGCATGGACTGGCAACGAACCATCCAAGTATACCATTCACAGCGTACCACCCATACCACCCACAGCTTACTATCCAAGCATATCATCCACAGCATATCACCCACAGCATACCATCCAAGCATACCATCCACAGCATATCACCCACAGCATACCATCCAAGCATACCATCCACAGTATACCATCCACAGCATACCACCCACAGCATACTATCCAAGTGTACCATCCAAGCGTACCACCCACAGTGTGCCATCCACAGCACAGATAGGGCTTCCCCAGGCAATGCCCATGGTCTGTTTCTGCAGGCAGCTTGGGCGGGAAGGAGGAGGTGACCTGCTGCAAGCTGGCAGGAAATCGGGTTCATCCATTTGTGCTGCTGTAACAAATGCCAAGGATGGACAGTCGCCAACGACAGAGATTGATCTCTCCTAGTACTGAGGCTGTGAAGCCCAAGATCGAGGCACCTGCAGGGTCAGTGTCTGAGGAGGGCCTGGGCTCTGTTTTCAGGAGGGCGCCTGGAGCTGTGTCTCACATGGAGGAAGACAGGAATGGCCAGGGCCGCTGGCTTCAGCCTCTCCTATGAAATCACTAATCACACTCACAAGGGCTTCACCCACTGGCAGGACTTGATCCCCTGTGAAGAGCCCCCTTAATGCCATCACGTTGGTGCTTAAGTTTCAACACAAGGATGTGGGGGGCACATTCAGACCACAGCAGATAACATCAGTAGCATTCATGTTTGACATGGTTTAGCTGTGTCCCACCCAAATCTCACCTCAAATTGTAAAAATCCCCACATATTGTGAGAGGGACCTGGTAGGAGGTGATGGAATCATGAAGGCAGGATTCCCTCACACTGTACTCATCGTAGCGGATAAGTCTCACGAGATCTGATGGTTTTATAAAGGGTAGTTCCCCTGCACACACTCTCTTGCCTGCCGCCACATAAGACATGGCTTTGCTCTTCCTTCCTCTTCCACCATGATTGTGAGGCCTCCCCAGCCATGCAGAACTGTGAGTCCATTAAACCTTTTTCCTTTATAAATTACTCAGACTTGAGGCTGCTTTATTAGCCCAGGACAGACTAATACAATGTTCCTTTCCTCTTGCGGGCTAAAGCCCAGGGATGTTCTCATCCTGCCAGCTCGAGGTGGCTGGGCCCCTCCTGATGGGTGGCTGTGAATCTCCTGTTTTTGGAAAGTTGACCTGTTTTTAAGCTCAGTTTGGTGACCTGGCACCTGGCACAGGTGACTTCAATCTGCCTAGTCTGCCCAGGTGGGGCCTAGTGACAGGAACTCAGTATAAAACAACGGCCCCCTGTAAACCGGAACACTCTAATGCGTGAAGTAAAACACTCCCTTGCAGCTGACGTTTAGGGAGGCAAACCAGGCCCCAGAAGTGACATTTCATTTTGCTGCTGGCATTGAGACCACGTATTCAAGCTTCAGGTTGAAAATTCAATTTTAAATGTACGCCCTATGTCATTTATGGCACTGTTATCAGAAGACTCTGGGTCTCCCCCTGAGGTTACACTTTCCTCATCTCCTTCCAGAAATCCAATGTTTAATGCTTTGAGTGTGAGGATACAGTAAAGAGGGGTGGAGACAACAAAAATAACAAATTGTGCTCCCTGCTGTTGAGGGGTTTGAGGTGTGGTTGTCCTTTCTTAAGGGAAAATTTTGCCAAGATATGCAGCTTGTGATTTGCAGCTCTGTGTGTGTGTCTGTGTGTGTGTGTGTGTGAAGGCTGCCATGACAAAGCACCCCAGAAATTCATCCTCTCACATCCCAGGGCTGGAAGTCCCAGATCCAGGTGCAGGCAGGGCTGCTTCCTCCTGAGGCCTCCGTCCTCAGCCTGTAGACACCGACATCCCCCAGGGCCTCACATCCTGAGGTCTCCCTCCTCGGCTTATAGACACCGACATCCCCCGGGGCCTCACAGGGTCCTTCCTCTGTGTGTGTCTGTGTCCTGATCTCCTCGTCTCATAAGGACACCATCCTGTGGGATTGGGGCCCACCCTCATAACTTCCTATTACCTTAATCCCCTCTTTCTAGGCCCCGTCCCTAACTGGAGCCCCATTCTGAGACACTAGGGATTAAGACTTCAGCCTATGGATTTGGGGACATGATTCACCCTGCAGGACTCTGGCTTTTAGATGAAGGCTGAGAATTTGTTTCCTAAAATGTGCCTCACCGCAGGCTCCGCACTGTGATATCTGCGTTTATCGCTTCAAACATAGGAACAGTACAGCTAAGTAACAGCTGCCACTAAATCGTTAAAACTCAAGCCAAAGTGCTCTGTCATTCTTAAAACAGGTATTTTATACACAGAAGTGTAATTTCTGGTCCCCTCTATTAGTATTACTGGCTAATTCCTTCTGGAAATTGACTTATTTAGAACCAATGGTGGAAAGCGTGGAACAGAAAAACCAGCAGCTTGGCAGGTATGGTGTGGTTTACCCTTTAGCAATACAGTTTTCTCAACCAGACAAAAAAAAAGGGATGACATTAATGCTGAATATATTTACCAAAAGCTAAAATTAATCCTTTATCTTCTTTGCATATATGTGTATTTATATTAAACTCAATGTTAGCACAAAGGCAAATACACTGAATAAAGTATTAATTTTTAAAGTGGTTGGTGCATATTTTTCTCCTAAAAATAATAAATACATGTGCAGTTTTTAGACTTATCAAAGTCTGCCAAACAGAAAGGAAGATGTTTGCATATTTCTCCACTATCAAAGGATTATCTCAACAACACCAAATGGGAGAGTGTGTAGCTCTCAAAGCGCCCACGAGCCTGTCATCTCCCACTTAAATATCTTCCCGTGAAACAGACAGAAGCATTTGAAAAGAGATCCTTCCACTGCCACTGTGAGTTGGATCGAATTCCCATACATTTGGGAGAGAAAAAAAAACTCAATTTTATCTGGATTTAAAAATCCAACGCTCACAGCACAGGCACAGTCAACATAACATCTTTAAGCGCACCGTCTACACTGGCTGTGATTTCACTGCCCCTGTGGCCTACACCTGAGTCAGGCTGTTTATTCCCTCACCGGGAGCCGGACGGACTGTGCTGCCTCCAGCTGCTCTGGCTTAGAAATGTGCCAACAAGAGGAAAAATCGCCCAAAACGCCACCTTTAAGGGATCCTGAGAGAGCCATGGACCTTCATGAAGAAACACTTTTCCCCAAAACAATAAAAAGGTATTGACCCATTGCTTTTTGTCATGAATGTTCTTTCAAAATGCTGCAGGAATGAAGCTCTGAGTAACGGAATCCTGATATCAATTCTAACAGGAATAGCTAAATAGTTGAGGGTTTTCAAAATCAATGGGAAAAATTTATAAGATGAGAATCTTGTTACAAAGAAAAAAAAATAGGGATC
>NT_187526.1:0-70887 GCF_000001405.40 Homo sapiens
ATTATCTGTGATCTAAAAATATTATTTTCTTGTATGTCTTTAAAAATTATTATGTGCAGTATGATCTTAACTTTTAAAAACCAAATAGAAAAAGACCATGAGAAATATACAAAATGGGTGATAAGGTTTTTTTTAACCTTTTTATATTTCCCATCTTTTCTAGAATGTGGTTGTATTTCTATGATAATCAGAGAACGTAGACTTAAGAGTGTGCTCCGAACACTACTTTGTGTCCATACATACATGCCTTGAGGAGGCAAAAATGCTGGGATGATACACAGTTTATATTAAACTGGGAACCTTGTAAGTGGTTGAAATATTTGGAGGCTTTTGCTTTCATCTACTTTTATTCATTTCCAGTAACTTTATAAAGAGTATGTTAAAAGTACTCAATTTTTCTCGAGTTTTCAAAATGCACCCATCTGGGCACAGTGCCCTCTAGAGATCCACCTCCATTCAGAATGTTTATCTTGTGAGTGTTGCAGATCTCAGGACGAAATCACTTTTTGTCAACCCCAAAGAACCAGAGCTGGGAGAATGCAGAGTCGGGGAGCTTATGCTTGCATGTCTGAGATGAAGACTGTCTTGAAAACTTCTAAAATAACCTCACAAGTTCCTTCTTGGGGACTGCAACAATCTGAATACAATGCTTTAGAAAGAGCACCTGCCCAGTGACCTGATGCCAATTCTTGCTTTGAGTCTCTGAACCTGATGGCCTTCATCTCCAGGCAGCTCATGTGAACATCGCTGCCAGTACAGGCTCCCCCTCGCCCTCCATTCTTCGAAACACGTGTGGCTTGCGTTTTTGGTTATAATCCATTCTTCTAATTCTTGTATACATTCAGTGTATTGGGAAATGTTTTTCTCTAATTTTTTTGATTGACAATCTTATAATAACTGTGGCATCTCATAGTAAATGCCGTGTGAGTTGGTTGGTCAGTCACATATAAATGCTACAGGATGGCTTTTGGGGGTCAGTTCTTTGGCAACTTTTGACTACATCATAAATTAAACAGAGGAAAACATGTTCTGTTTTGTTCCTCATCTAAAATTGGTTTCCACTGCCATGGATAGATGCAGATGCTTTTGCAACCCTGGAAATGCTGAGCTCTGCATTCCTGTTGGAAGCAGCAAGATTACAAAAAGCTGACAGGTACAAGCTATAGGGTTTGTGATCAGCTGGTAGGAACATGCCTCATTATATCTGCAAGCTATTGAGTTGATGTAAGATTTGGGACCACGATGAGAATCACGAGGCTCTGCTTTCTGCAGCACATGAACTCCCTCAGAGTGGGGTTTGCTCAAATGAGCAGCACCTACCTTGAGCTGACTTTGGAGATGCCTGTGTGGAAGGTGGGCACAGGACCAGAAGGCCTTTCCGGGCACCCTGCACATACTCTTCTCCTAAGGAGAGGATGCTGGAGGCATTTCCTCCAATGTCAGTGCCAGCTTGTGACTGCAGAGAGCAAAGAGCTGGGTGTGCTGGGGCAGCTGGAGAGGAAGGAGCTGCAGAGGGGTAACACTGGCATGTTCCTTCTCCTTGGCCCTCAGTAGATGGGAGCATTTGACCCCGCTGAGCTAAGCATTAGCTCACAGAGACCTGACTTCTCCCCTAGCTGCTAGGTTATAGAAAATATTTTCTCCAGATTGTGCAAAATACTTTTCCAGAGGAAAGTACATTCAGTGGGACATGAAATTCAGGGTTTATCAGTGGCCTCCAAGTGAAAAGCGTCCTATGAAAGTCCACAGTCTGGAGCCAAAGCTGCACCTACAAGCTCTGCATGCAGCCTGATTTTATAAAGAAAAAATGGGTTTTCTCAGTGGGGAATTGCTTTTGATCCTACACTTTTCAAAAGTAATCTTCAACTGATTTTATGAAAGGATGCATACTATTTTGTTTATTTAAATATTGTGCATTGTATAGTAGAATCCTCTATGCAATTTTAAGTGGTGGTTTTGCAGTATAATTCTAGTACTTCTGCAAACAGATAGCACACTGTAGCAAACCTTTGAATCAGCAACAAGGGGTACAGAGTATGTGGCTAAACACACAGCAGCATTACTAGGATGAACTCCTATGGCACAGATTTATTATTGTGCATGCAAATACCACAGTTAAAATTAAATGTATAGGGATAATTAAAACCTTGCCACAGTATGCAGTCATTTATAATGAATTCCTACACAGGTTGCAGTAGTCTATGTAGACAAATGGTATTTCAGCAAAGCTAATATGAAATACACATCAGGTGATCAGAAGGTATTTCAGTGTCATTCTCGTGCATGCACCAAAGGTGAATCTCTTACCAGAAGTTAGAGCCCAACAGAAAAGGGTAACCATGAATGAATATCTGTAAAATTCAGCTCAGAGTTCAAATGTTCCAATATTGCCACTTTTGCTATTGAGCTATTGGCCATGGAATTAATAAATATAGAGAAACAATGTTAGGATGATAACCCAAACCCAACCTCTGGCTATGTGAGTTTTTTTTCTGCCTTCAGACACATCTGTAGATGGCGATGCCGCCTCTTCTGTATGACGCTCCAACCTCCCTCAGTGTCCATTCCCCCATCCCACCTGCGTTGAGGGAGAGGCCTTTCATCTAAAATCCTAGGGCAGGGATGCAAAGATGATTTGAGGTGGAGGAGAATGAGAAGGGGGCTTATATATTAGCACAGACGAAAAATAAATCACACACTCTTTCTGTTAAGCGTAAGCATTGTGTAGAGAGTCGTATGGAAACCTCATCCACGTGGAAGCGAAGCCTCCAAGGTTCCAGGGATCTCATGAGAAACCCTGGGGAACCGCCCCCCGTCTCCTCTCACCGCAAACCAACCAGAGCCAGTTCAGCGGCACAGAACTGTTAGGGACATTATTTTTGGGCAGGTAAAGCTGACTGCAGAGGAGACTTGGGGTGGATAGGGTTGGCTCTTTAAGTGGTGGATTAACCAATGTGTAAGGTATGCATTTATAAGGAATGAAGTCTCAAATAACGTTCTAATACATAGTGAACATCCAGCAGCTTAACACTTACGAACAAGCAAGTATGAAAGACACTTCATGCCACCCTTCTGAGCCTCCAGAAAGCCCAGGTCTGTTTTCTCACGGCGCCCCTGCTTACAGAAAGTCTTCTTGCAGACAGATGCTCGGATTCCAGGTGCAACAGTCCCTGGACCCTATGGTCCACAGAGCCCGGAGCTCAGGGCTGGTGCTTCCCGTGGACACTGAAGCAAATTAAAACACCAGAAATGCCTTGTGAGTGTGGGGCTTGCCTGTGAGCGCGGGTTACACCTGTGAGTGTGGGGCACACCTGTGAGTGTGAGGCACGCCCATGAGTGTGGGGCACACCTGTGAGTGTGAGGCACATCTGTGTGAGGCACGTCCATGAGTGTGGGGCACACCTGTGAGGCGCGTTCTTGCCGGTCGCTGGGGCGGCAGCACCTGGTTCATTCCCAGCGAGCCCGGCTCTGAGATCAAGATGGCTCAGAGAGCTCAGGCTCCTCTTTGAGAACGTGGAATGGGAGGTGGGTGGATCCTGTGGCCCAGAACCTACCTCCGACCCTTTCGTTGTTGGACTCTTGCGGGGCTGCTGCGTGGTGCTGTGGTGGTTGCATGGCTCCTTCACCTTCCCAGACGGGCTTCCTGTCGAGAGCCGCAGACCCGACGAGGCCTCACCACTTTTCCATCTGGGCCCGGCTCTGACCACAGCACAGAGTCGTTGCTACCGATAACAAGGCAGACCCATGACCTGGACGCCCGTTGGAATGTCATCAGCCATTCTATCGTGTGTCTCTCGACCTAAACTCGCTGAGTGGACATTTCAGGTTGTTTTGGTTTTGCGTCTTTCTCACGGTCTCTATGCACTGAGCCCAGTGCTGTGTCTACAACTTTCCCTCCAGATTTAGGCCCCTCTTCTCCTTCTCCTTCCCTTCAGCTTCTTCTCTTTCGTGCAATTTGCAGTTGGAAAACAGCGGGAGAAAATGTCTTAAATCCGGGTAGAAGAGCACTTCTTTCTTTCCAGATCTTTCAGAAACAACCTCACTTGCTTTTTTATCAGTTGAAATGTGTTGGACTTGAGTTCTGTGTTCCAGGTGCCTGCAGATGCCTCTCCCCGCATGCAGCCTCCTCTGCCTCTGTGACGCTTCATTCTCCTTTCTTCTGTACAGGCCCCATCGTCACCTTCCTCGCCCATAGCTAAGGACCCGAGGTATGAGAAGCGCTGGCTGGACACCTTGTCCGTGCCTCTGTCCATGGCTCGCATCTCAAGGTACAAAGCCGGAACGGAAAAATTAAGGTGTGTGACCATTGTCTGAGATGGGAAACTTTGATGAACCCCGTGCACTTTTGCCAGTTCCTACAGGCCGCTGGTTACTCCAGAGCGCTTGACTGTGACATTAGCAAGTGTGCGTGCTGTCTTCTGGTAGATTTAGCATTTGGAATAAACAAGTTAAAGATAAAGAGAAAATGAGAAGTCAGGTATCAGAACAGTGAATTTATTACTAAGAATAGTTCTATCTAGGGCAAGGTGGCATGGTTACTTCTCATGAACCAGTCATTAGTAAAAGAAATTCTATTTTTAGTTTTAAATGCTAACAGAATTAGACTGGAAATAAAGACTGACTTCTTGTCCAAGTCTCAGATGTTTTTAGAAATGCCACTTAAACTCTGTGGGCCTCTTTTTCTTCAGTAATAAAATGAGAGGGTTAGACCAGCACCTATGTTAAATAAATGCTAACTAGCTTGTGAGTTTGGTTAATTAAATAATTTCAAAGATGTAACTATAAAAGTTGATGTTTCTGTAGCTTTTCGAGTAGAAAAATGTATGCTTGGCTAATTGTGCTATTTAATTACTGTGGAAAGGCCCACAAGTAATGAGTTGGTGAATTTCCTTTTTCTGTTCTTTAGACAGATGTGTAGAAATAGCAAACCTTCTGTCAGCAAAGGAATTTTTTTTAATTGAGCACTGTACTTCCCACAATGTGTGTGCATCTGTGTGAATGTGTGTGGCTATAGTGTGTGTGGTCTGTGTGAATGTGTGTGGCCGTGGTGTGTGCGGTCTGTATGAATGTGTGTGGCTATAGTATGTATGATGGGCAGACAGTACAACCTGAAATTCCCTTTACTGGTCCTTAAATGGAAGGAAAAGTCTAGCAAACATTGCTTTTCATGAAGCGTTAGAATTAGGTTTTCTATATTAATTGGTATTAGCTGTACAGCCTCTCACAAAGGATGTTCATGTTTGCGGAAGGATGTTTATGATCCCATTGCAGGAACAGGGACAGTAAGCTTGATTTTCAGATTTGTGCCCATCTTTGGTAAAGAGAGACAAACCTAGTAAAAGATGTGTGTATTGCTAGAGAAATGGAAAGACAGGTAGGTGAATATGGGTGGATAGATAGATGATAGATAAAGTGGATGGATGGATGGATAGGTAGATAGACAGACAGACAGATAGATAATATTCTGCATAATAATGTTTTGGTCAAGGACAGACCACATATGCCATGGTGGTCCCATTAGATTGTAAAGGAGCTGAAAATCCCTACTGCCTGGTGACATCAACCATCGTAACCTCACAGTGAAAGATATGACTCACGTGTTTGTGGTGATGCTGACGTAGACAAACCTACTGCACTGCCAATCATATAAAAGGAAACAGTAATGTCCTGGACCTTCACATTCACTCACTCCTCACTCATGGCTTCACCCAGAACAACTTCCAGTCCTGAAGGCTCTATTCATGGTGAGTTTCCTGCACAGGTGTGTCATTTTTTAACTTTTATACCCTATTTTTACTTTCACTTTTCTAAGTTTAGATGTGCTTAGATACACAGATACTTGGTTTTGTGTATTTAGATACACAAATACGATTGTGTTACAGTTGTGTAAGTATTCAGCATAGTCGCATGCTGTACTGGTTTGTAGCCTAGGACCAATAGGCTATACCATGTAGCCTAGGTGTGTTGTAGCCTGTATCATCTAGGTTTCTGTAAGTGCACCCTACGATGTAAACACAATGACAAAATCACCTAATGACACAGCTCTCAGAATGTATCCCCATCATTAAGTAACATCTGACTGTAGATATATAGATGATTTATTGCAGTCATAGAGGGGCTGAAATATAGATAGATTACAGAGATACAGATAGATGGATAGGTAAATAGCCATTTGTAAAATATAGCAGAATGTTTTAACAGTTCGTGCTCTAACTGTGAATTCCTTTTAAAGTGTGTGCTTGTGGCTTTCTTACAACATGTTTCTTTGGTTTGGGGTTAATTTGGGAACAAAGTAGAGATCTGGGCATGTATCTCTCTTGACAAAGAGGGAAATAGTGCATGAAATGACATTTGTCTATTAGCGTATTTGAATTAAATGGGTTTTTAGAAAAATAGAGCCACTGAACTTCATTACACACTTCCTAGCCCATCTGCCATTGAATGTGATGAAGATTGGCTGTTCTAGCTTTGGTTTAAGGATGAATTCAGGTCATAAGATGGAAATGTCTCCTACTCTGAGGACAGGATAGGGTCTCTACTTGTATTAGTCCATTTTCATACTACTGTGTAGAAAAACCTGAGACTGGGTAATTTATAAAGAAAAAGAGGTTTAATGGACTCACAGTTCTACATGACTGGGGAGGCCTCACAATCATGTCAGAAGGCAAAGGAGGAGCAAAGGCATGTCTTACATGGCGGCAGGGAAGAGCATGTGTGCAGGGAAACTGCCCTTTATAAAACCATCAGATCTCGTGATTCTTATTCACTACCATGAGAACAGCATGGAAAAAACCCACCCCCATGATTCAATTACCTCCCACCAGGTCCCTCCCATGACACGTGGGAATTATGGGAGCTACAATTCAAGATGAGATTTGGGCAAGAGTACAACCAAACCATATCACTAGTAATTCTTAACTAAATGCAGACTTGATAACCCATTCTGGCAGCTTGAGAACATGTAGAAACACATGTGTTATTCTTGGTGACAAAATATTTTGACCCACTAAGCCATTCATACCACAATCATTGGGATAAATACATGACATCCAGGAGAATGAAATGGAACCCAAGAAGTCAGCCGACTGCCTGAGCCTCAGATTGTTTCTGTTACAAAAGCTATCACACACTGATTTGGTTTGGATCTGTGTCCCCACCCAAACCTCATGTGGAAATGTATTCCCCAGTGTTGGAGGTGGGGCCTGGTGGGATTAGATCATGGGGCAGATTCTCATGAATGGGTTAGCAAAATCTCCCTTGGTGCTGTGCTTCTGACAGTGAGTGGGTTCTCCTGATATCTGGTCATTTAAAACTGTGTGGCACCTCCCCACTCTCTCTCTTTCTCTTGCTCCTGCTCCTACCATGTAAGGTGTCTCGCTCACCTTCTGCCTTCCACCATGATTGGAAGTTTCCTGAGGCTTTCCTAGAAGCAGAAGCTGCCATGCTTCCTATGTAGACTACAGAACTGTGAGCTGGTTAAGCCTCTTTTCTTTATAAATTACCCATTCTCAGGTATTTCTTTACAGCAGTGCAAGAACGGACCAATACACACTGTAACAGCAAACTGAAAGGTTTATAATTTTTCATAAGACAAGAATATTTTGTTTTATAAAGGCAAATATGTCTTACTAGCTTGCTGACTGTTTTATGATTTTTAAGCAAGATTTAGTATGGGCAGGAAAGGGCAAATAATAAAACGCATAAGGGCTTAAGCTATGAATTTTATAAAACCTGTTTGTTCTGAAACATATTTGTGCAAAGTCCCATTTAGAGGCTGAGATGCTGTTCTTAGCTCCACCTTACCTGTAAGCTCCTCAGGTCTCATTTTAAATGGATGAAAAAGAGAAGAGACTTGGGTGTGTTGATCCCAGTGGATGGAGTTCTAAAATTCCTGTGTATCTTCTCCTGAGGGCTCCTCAGTCTAAGGAGGGTAAGGAATAAGTTTAGAAATTGTCAATTCTAAATCAAACAGGTTTTAGAATCTTAAAACAAAAGCTGTAAGCTGTAGCCCAGGAGGAACCTTTAGATATCATATAATGGAAACATAAATAGGATGAAGAGGTTGGAAGCCAGCATCCTGTGGGTGTCCCCTCTGACTCTGTCCTTGTCCAAGTATAGGACCTCAATCTATAACCACTACCTTCTGGGTCCTTTCTAAAAATTGACAAATAATAATCATATATAATTAATGTACAATGTTATGTTTCAATACATGTTTGCATTATGGAATAATTAAATCAAGCTACTTGGCATGTCAGTAACATCACATGCTTAGCATTTTTGTAGTGAAAATATTTAAAATCTACTCTTTTAGCAATTTTGAAATATACAATACAGTACTTACTCACTTAACATCATTGATTGGTCCTCAGAAACTGCAACTTGGAGTGAAAAGATGTATAAAGAAACCAATTTTCCCATAGGCTAATAGCTATAAATAAGAGTTAGATTCTTACAGCATATTTTTGGTCACAAAATATCACCAAACTTCTAAATAAAGACCAAAACACTTCAAATATTAAACATTGAAATAAATATGAGCTTTGCATACATTTAAGAAAGATTAATAAAAACAAGTAAGATAATTATTTGCCCAATTATTTCATTCAGGGTTGGGGAGACTGGAGTCTGTGCTGGAAGCTCAGGGCTCAAGCTGGGCAACAGCCCTGGACAGGATGCCATCCCACTGCAGGATGGCTCACACATGCCCACAGCCACTCAGCCTGGGACCATTTGGACACAGCAATTAACCTTACCTGCATGTCTTTGTGGGGAGGAAACCAGAGTGCTTAGAAAAACCCATGCAGACAGACACAGAGCAAACATGCAAACCTCACAAAGATATTGTTTCTTCTGTCACCTGTGCTTTTGGGTCATATTCAAGAAATCATTAACCAAATAAAAGTCGTGGAGCTTTTCCCTATGTTTTCTTTTAGTAGTTTTATAGTTTCAGGTCTTACATTTAACTCCTTAATCCATTTTGATTTTTGCATATGGTGTGAGATAAGCTTCTGGTTTCATTCTCCCACATGTGGATATCCAGTTCTCTGAACACCATATATGGAAGAGACTGTCATTTCCTCATGATATGTTCCTGGCACTTTTGTTGAAATCAATTGACCATAGATCTGTGGGTTTATTTCTGGCTTTTTATTCTGTTCCATTGGCCAATGTACCTGTGTTTATGCTTGTGCCTTGCTGTTTTGATTATTATAGCTTTATAATATGTTTTGAAATCAGGTAGTGTGATGCCTCCATCTTTGCTTTTTATGCTCAAGATAGTTTGGATATTCAGAGTGTTTTATGGTTCCATATACATTTTAGGATTGTGTTTTCTATTTCTTTGAAAAATATCATTGGAATTTGATAGAGACTTCATAGAATTTTGTATATCATTTTAAGTAGTATGGTATCTAAACAACATTAACTCTTCCAATCCATGAATGCAGGATATCTTTCCATTTTTGTGTGTCATCTATAATTTCCTTTATCAATGTATATTTTTCATTGTACAGATCTTTCATCTCTTTCGTTAAATTTACTCCTAGGTATTTTATATTTTTATACTACTGTAAATGGGATTGTTTTATTAATTTCTTTTTTGTATAGTTCATTGTTAGTGAACAAAATACTACTGATTTCTGAGTGTTGTTTTGTATCCTGCAAATTTTCTAAATTCCTTTATTAAGTCTAACAGTTTTTTTGAGTCTTTAGAGTTTTCTATATATAAGCTTATGTCATCAGCAAACAGAGACAATTTCACTTCTTCCTTTTCTATTTAGATGTGTTTTATTTCTTTTTCATAATTGTTCTTGTTAGCACTTCCAGTACTATGTTGTATAGATGTGGTGAGAGTGCACATATTTATCTTGTTCTGGATTTTAAGGGAAAACCTTTCAGCTTTTCATCATTAAGTATGATATTAGACGTGGGCTTGTCACACGTGTTCTTTATTGTGTTGAAGTACATTCCCTTCATACCTAATTTGTTGAGAGCTTTGATGATGAAAGGATAATGAATTTTGTCAAATGTTTTTCTGCATCTATTGCTACAATGTTATGGTTTTTGTCTTTCATTTTGTTAATATGGTGAATTAGATTTATTGATTTTGCATGTGTTGAACCATGCTTGCATCCAAGGCATGAATCCCACTTGATCATGGTGACTGATCTTTTTAATGTGCTATTGAATTCAGGTAACTAGTATTTTGATGAAGATGTTTGCACGTATGTTCATCAAGGATATTGGCCTGTAATTTTTGTTTCTTGTAAGGTTCTCATCTGGCTTTGGTATTAGGATAATGCTGGCCTCATAAAGGTGAGTTTGGAAGTGTTCCCTACTCTTCAATTTTTTGTGAAGAATTTAAGAAGAATTGGTATAAGTTTTTCACTATTTATTTGGTAGAATTCAGCAGTGAAGACATCTGGTCTTCAGCTTTTCTTTGATGAAAGATTTATTATTTTTGTTAATTATTATTACTGATTTGATCTCCTTACCTGTTATTAGTTTATTTAGATGATCTGTTTCCTCTTAATTCCATTGTGATAGGTTGTATGTTTCTAGGAATTTTTTTTAACATTTTTAAAAGCGTGTTTTACACTAATTCTTTTTTTTCTTTTTTTTCTTTTTTTTATTATACTTTAAGTTCTAGGGTACACGTGCACAACGTGCAGGTTCGTTACATATGTATACATGTGCCATGTTGGTGTGCTGCACCAATTAACTCATCATTTACATTATGCATATCTCCTAATGCTATCCCTCCCCCCTCCCCCAACCCCATGACAGGCCCTGGTGTGTGATGTTCCCCTTCCTGTGTCCAGGTGTTCTCATTGTTCAATTCCCACCTATGAGTGAGAACATGCAGTGTTTGGTTTTTTGTCCTTGTGATAGTTTGCTGAGAATGATGGTTTCCAGCTTCATCCATGTCCCTACAAAGGACATGAACTCATCATTTTTTATGGCTGCATGGTATTTCATGGTGTATATGTGCCACATTTTCTTAATCCAGTCTATCAGTGATGGACATTCGGGTTGGTTCCAAGTCTTTGCTATTGTGAATAGTGCCACATTGAACATACGTGTGCATGTGTCTTTATAGCAGCATGATTTATAGTCCTTTGGGTATATACCCAGTAATGGGATGGCTGGGTCAAATGCTATTTCTAGTTCTAGATCCTTGAGGAATCACCACACTGTCTTCCACAATGGTTGAACTAGTTTACAGTCCCACCAACAGTGTAAAAATGTTCCTATTTCTCCACATCCTCTCCAGCACCTGTTGTTTCCTGACTTTTTAATGATTGCCATTCTAACTGGTGTGAGATGGTATCTCATTGTGGTTTTGATTTGCATTTCTCTGATGGCCAGTGATGATGAGCATTTTTTCATGTGATTTTTGGCTGCATAAATGTCTTCTTTTGAGAAGTGTCTGTTCATGTCCTTCGCTCACTTTTTGATGGGGTTGTTTGTTTTTTTCTTGTAAATTTGTTTGAGTTCTTTGTAGATTCTGGATATTAGCCCTTTGTCAGATGAGTAGATTGCAAAAATTTTCTCCCATTCTGTAGGTTGCCTGTTCACTCTGATGGTAGTTTCTTTTGCTGTGCAGAAGCTCTTTAGTTTAATTAGATCCCATTAGTTTAATTAGATCCCATTTGTTGATTTTCTCAGGTTATCTAATCTGTTGACATATAATTGTCCAGGGCCCATTCAGCATCTACAGTGGGATGGGAACCCACCAGCATGCTGGAGGCACAGACAGGAGAGTCCCTCTGGGTCCTTGTGTGAACAGTAGTAATGTGGTTAGGCTTTGTGTCTCCACCCAAATATCATCTTGAATTGTAATCTTCATGATCCCACGTGCCTAGGGAGAGACCTGGTGGGAGATGATTGGATCATGGGGGTAGTTCCCCCATGTTGTTCTCATGATAGCGAGTGAATTCTCATCAGATCTGATGGTTTTGTAAGGGGCTCTTTCCCTTTCACTCCTCACTCTTCTCTCTCCTGCTGCCATGTGAAAAAGGGCCAAGCTTGCTTCCCCTTCACCCTTCACCCTTCATTGTTGCTGTGGGGAATATGAGCAGGGGGACTTCCCATTCCACCATGTGCCGACATCACCCTTGGGTCTTTTCTTTTGTTAAGTAATTAGACCAATGATGGTTGAGGTTCCTTAGTTTTCTCAGTTCTTTTTTTAAAAAAAAAAGACTATAAAGAGTAGATGCATACTGAAGTCTAATTCATTTTAAATATGTATTTATATGATACAAATCACATGTAATAAGTGCAACTGTTTTTATTTCCATTTGCCTCCAACATGTTACAAGCCCGTGCACTGGCAGAAGTTATTTTCCTCCATTCCATTGTCAGATCAAGCTTATACTCAAGTGGTTCTTTGGTAAAATGGGAACTATGCATTTGGATAAATTATGTGTCATTGTGAATGAGGATTAAATCATTGGCTACACAGTACGAGAAAAGATTGTTCACTAAGAATTTGAAGGGAGAATATTGAGATGAAACTAAAAAAGACATAAAAACATAAGCATTCTTCCTAATGGACATCAGCAGATGCCACAGAGTGGGGCTTTCCCTCAAGTTCTCCAACAGGAAAATAACCCCTGTCCTGTGACACTCGGTAGGTCGTTATGCAGCATCACAGGTAACTTAGCATAACCATGCGATCCTGACTACTGGCTTATATAGACATTATGTAGTCTACATTTCTATTATGTAGAAATGTAGTACATTGTATGTAGAAATGTATGTACATTTCTGTTATGTAGAAATGTCTGTTATGCAGACATTTCTCTGACATCAGGTGAAGAAAAGCATTGTTGATGGGGTGGCCATGGTGGTGGAGATGCTAGAGTTTTGTCTGTCTTTACCATATCAGTTTTCTATTGCCATGTAACAAACCTGTGCAAACTTAGCAGGTAACACAAGACTGTTTTATTATCTCACAGTCCTCATGGGTCAGGAGTCCGGCAGCTCCCGGCTGGTCCTCTGCTTGGGATCTCACCAGGCTGAAACCAAGGTGTCGGCTGGGCTGTGTTCCCATCTTCAAGGCTCACTCAGGGTTGCTGGCAGAATTCAGTCCCTTGACTTTATAGGACTCAGTTCCCCACCTTTGTCAGCCAAGGGCTGCTCTCCACCACCAGAGACCACCATGTTCATTGACATGGTCACCCTCTGCCCTCAAGCCAGCAGCAGGTAACAGGTAACCCCATAAGCCTCCAATCTATGACTTCCTTCACTCTGACCTCTAGACCCAGACGTAAAGGGCCATGTGTTCAGGCTGTACCCCTGCATAAATCTCCCTAACTCAAGGTCAGCTGAGTTGAGACGTTGATTGCATTTGCAGAATCCCTTCACAGAAACACCTAGTTTCTGTTGATTGAATAACTGGAGCAGATGTTTCCACCAAGGTCTGAGAACTGGGGGCTGCCTTAGAACTCTGCCTGCTCTAGTGTCTCAACCTCTGTTTCCCTCTGGAAAGCCCATAGCACGTCCACGCTTCTTAGAAATTCATCCTTTTAAAACAAAAGTGGCTTGGATGATGGTTGGCTGTTCTTCCACATGGTACCGTTGGACAAAGCTGGATTTGAGCCAGGCTCCTGCCCATAGCATGTGTGTTTCAGAAAATAGAGAGTGAAGAAATACTTAAGAACAAGAGAAATGTCTGTGCTTGAAAAGTATCCACAATCATTTTGCAAGTGAGGAAGCTTCACAAGAGGCTCAGAAAAGAGGAAGAGCTGTGGTGCCTCTGGGATGTGCCCCTGGGGAAGCAGGTGGTATGAAGGAATAGTACGGGGATAGGAACTAAGAGATTTCTAATCCTGCTTCACCCTCTTGGGGCCATGACCTAGGTAACTCATGGGGGCTCTTGTGATGGCTTCTTTGCTGGTTTAACCAAGTAGGGTGGGAGATGATATAATACTTTACTGCTTTCTAAGATAGTTTATGAAGGTAAGAAAAAATAAAACTGTACGTTTAAAGGAGGTTTGAAGCAGCAGGAGTTCAGTGATTTTTAATTGTGATGCGGTTTAGGTCTGGGTTTCCACCCAAATCTCATGTTGAAATATAATCCCCAGTGCTGGAGGTAGGTCCTGGTGGGAGGTGACTGGATCACGGGGCAGATTTCTCATGAGTGGTTTAGCACCCAACCCCTCGGTACTGTTGTGATAGTGAGTGAGTTCTCATGAGAACCAGCTGTTAAAAGTGTATGGCACCTGCCCTCTTTCCTTCCAACTCCTGCTATGCCCATGTCAAGTGCTGGCTCCCCCTTTGCCTTCCGCCATGATTGTAAGTTTCCTGAGGCCTCCCCAGAGTCCCAGCAGATGTCGCCATGCTTCCTGTACAACCTGTGCCACCAGAGCCAAGGAAGCCTCTTTTCCTTATAAATTATCCAGTCTTGCGTATTTCTCTATGGCAGTGTGAGAATGGACCAATACAAATTGTTTATGGAATAAGGAATGACTGAACAGAAGGCAGGAAATTCAGATTTGAGTGATTATCCCCAAAGATGAGCAATTAAACAGCTCCAGAATCTCTGTGCCACAGAATTTCTGTGCATCACTTTGCAACTCTTTACAGGAGGAACTGCTTTTTATGCAACTCTTTACAGGAGGAACTGCTTTTTATTTATCTGCTCACAGGAGCCCTGTCCATGCCTCTTGTTTTAGGCAGGCCTCAAATTGATTAAAAGTAATTGACTTTCTTTTTTTTTTCTAAAACATAGAAGGAAAGAAAGGGAAGGGAGGGGAGTGGAGGGGAGGCGAGGGGAGGGGAGGCGGAGAGGAAGAGGGAAAGGGAGGGAGTTAAGTAGTAAGGGAGGAAGAGAGAAAACCCTCAGCTTAGGGGTCTTTTTGCCCCACATCTACCATGTTTTTTAAAAATACAATGAAATTATGTTTTGTGAGTTACAATAAAATTTCATTTGCTTTGTAGGCACTCACCTTATTTCAGAAGAAGAAGGCAGATGGGCTCTATAGTAGTCATAATGGAAACAGACCTACTACAGATAAGCAGATTTTGAAAAGTGATACTGCAAGTCAGAATTATACTGCTAAATACTCTAATTTGTTTTGCAAAGGAGAGTATCATGTTTAAATAGTCATACCAAAAAGAATCCTGTGGTGAGTTTTCTGGAATTCGTCCATCCCAAGAGCACAGCACTCGATGCTCTGAGCTCACGCGTCCCGCACACAGGGCACTCCTTACCCGGGCTTCCAGGGAGACAGTGTCCTGGCAGCTGTGGGGCCTCAGGAAAGGGGGCTTGTTATGGAATGTGGGAATGTGTTGGGTGGTTCTAGGAAGGGCCAGGAGATCAGGGCTTGCCCTGCACTGGGTGCCGTCAGAGCGTGGGCTGTGTCAGCAGTGTCTGGCTTAATTTCTATCCAGGAGCATGAGACAGGAAGTGGCAGGATCCAGGCCAGGCTTGTGGGAGCAGCAGCCCCTCCCTCAGGCCAGCAGCCCGCCAGGGACCTATGGGACCTTTGTGGTTGGACGGCATGTCGTGTGTCCCCTGCTGCTGCTCTGCCTTGTTGCCTCATGTCCCTGGAGAGCCCCGGTCTGAGGTTGATGACATGTGGGACTCTGTGTTTTTCAGAGGAACCCCACAGCCCTGCTGGCTGCTAGCAGGTGACAGAGCTGCTGTTTCTTTCTCATTACGCCATCTTTAAATTTTCTGAAAACTTTCTTTTGACGATAGAAGATTAGGGTGTTCATGTTGACAGAAAGAGAATAATCCCATTCCACTTAGATCTCTACAAACGCCCAGTTCTCTGGCATGTGTCCTACTCTGATAAGGGCAGGGGCCACGTGTTTAAGATCTGGAGGTCCTTAAGTCTTCTCAGAAGCCAGTGCTGCCTTCAACACCCGGCAGTTCTGGTGGGGGTGTCTTCCGTGGTGCCCAGCCCTGGGCCGCCCCCTCCACGGGCACGTAGGTGAATCAGGGTGGACCCACTGCTAAGCAGATGAATGACTACCTAAGGTAGCTCTCCTGAGTTTGCTCTGATAGAGAACAAGGGCTGCTGATTTTCGGAGGCACCCTGACACCCCTCCCCATCCAACAGATGTGCGGAGCAGCTCTGAGTTGCCTTCTCTGGGTGGAACTGCATCTGCTCCTTCTTTCCTGGGAATTCAGAATCATTCTTGAGAAATCACTCTGCATCTGTGTCATTCTCCCAACTCACTTCTCTAGGCTCCGTTACGCTTTCTCTGGGGCAGTGGTCCCCACCCGCACTGTGTGACACTGCTTCCGAGATTCCCCGGGTGCTCCTCTGTCTCTGAGTCTGTCTCTGCCTCTGCCTCTCTCTGTCTCTCAGAGGTCTGTCTCTGTCTCTGCCTCTCTCTGTCTCTCTGTCCCTCTCTGTCTCTGTCTCTCCCTGTCTCTGTCTCTCTGTTGCTGTCTCTGCCTCTGTCTCTGCCTCTCTCTGTGTCTCTCTGCCCCTCCCTCTGTCTCTGTCCCTCTCAGTCTCTGGTTTTGTCTCTGTCTCTCTCTGTCTCTGCCTCTGCCTCTCTCTGTCTCTGTCTCTCTGTCTCTGTCTCTCTCTGTCTCTCTCTGTCTCTTTGTCCCTCTCTGTCTCTCTCTGTCTCTGTCTCTAGCTCTGCCTCTGTTAGTCCCTCTCTCTCTCCCTGTCTCTGTCTGTCACTGTCTCTGCCTCTGTCTCTGCCTCTCTGTGTCTCTCTGCCCCTCCCTCTGTCTCTCTCTGTCCCTCTCAGTCTCTGGTTTTGTCTCTGTCTCTCTCTGTCTCTGCCTCTGCCTCTCTCTGTCTCTGCCTCTGCCTCTCTCTGTCTCTCTGTCTCTGTCTCTGTCTCTCTCTGTCTCTGCCTCTGTCTCTCTCTTTGTCCCTCTCTGTCTCTGTCTCTCTCTGTCTCTGTCTCTAGCTCTGCCTCTGTTAGTCCCTCTCTGTCTCTCCCTGTCTCTGTCTCTCTGTCGCTGTCTCTGCCTCTGTCTCTGCCTCTCTCTGTGTCTCTCTGCCCCTCCCTCTGTCTCTCTGTGTCCCTCTCAGTCTCTGGTTTTGTCTCTGTCTCTCTCTGTCTCTGCATCTGCCTCTCTCTGTCTCTGTCTCTGCTTCTCTCTGTCTCTCTCTTTGTCCCTCTCTGTCTCTGTCTCTCTCTGTCTCTAGCTCTGCCTCTGTTAGTCCCTCTCTGTCTCTCCCTGTCTCTGTCTCTCTGTCACTGTCTCTGCCTCTGTCTCTGCCTCTCTCTGTGTCTCTCTGCCCCTCCCTCTGTCTCTCTCTGTCCCTTTCAGTCTCTGGTTTTGTCTCTGTCTCTCTCTGTCTCTGTCTCTCTGTCTCTGCCTCTCTCTGTCTCTGTCTGTGTCTCTGTCTCTGCCTATCTCTGTCTCTGTCTCTCTCTGTCTCTGTCTCTATCTCTGTCTCTGTCTCTCTCTGTCTCTGTCTCTCTCTCTCTCTGTTTCTCTCTGTCTCTGTCTCTGTCTCTATCTCTGTCTCTGTCTCTCTCTGTCTCTGTCTGTGTCTCTCTCTGTCTCTGCCTATCTCTGTCTCTGTTTCTGTCTGTCTCTGTCTCTATCTCTGTCTCTGTCTCTCTCTGTCTCTGCCTATCTCTGTCTCTGTCTCTGTCTCTGTCTCTGCCTCTCTCTGTCTCTGTCTGTGTCTCTCTCTGTCTCTGCCTATCTCTGTCTCTGTTTCTGTCTGTCTCTGTCTCTATCTCTGTCTCTGTCTCTCTCTGTCTCTGCCTATCTCTGTCTCTGTCTCTGTCTCTGCCTCTCTCTGTCTCTGTCTGTGTCTCTCTCTGTCTCTGCCTATCTCTGTCTCTGTTTCTGTCTGTCTCTGTCTCTATCTCTGTCTCTGTCTCTCTCTGTCTCTGCCTATCTCTGTCTCTGTCTCTGTCTCTGTCTCTCTCTGTCTCTCTCTGTCTCTCTCTGTCTCTCTCTGTCTCTGTCTCTGTCTCTCTCTGTCTCTCTCTGTCTCTCTCTGTCTCTGTCTCTGTTTCTCTCTGTCTCTGTCTCTGTCTCTCTCTGTCTCTCTGTCTGTCTCTGTCTCTCTCTGTCTCTCTGTCTCTCTCTGTCTCTCTCTGTCTCTCTCTGTCTCTGCCTATCTCTGTCTTTGTCTCTCTTTTTCTCCCTCTGCAGCCTCTCAGTCGAGGATCTTTTCTTTTCACCTCTGAGGATTATTCGTTTTTTTTCATTTTGACTGTAAGGGATTAGCGCCCTGTCTATGAAAAGATGCTGCAAAGTCTCCGCTTTTGGGCATTAAGATCTTTTCTTCGTATCCAAGCAAGATAAATTCGTAACAAGTTGTCTGCTTTAAACATTAATTTGATTTTTCTTTCCTTTGTGTGTGGAGATTTCATAGGCTATCAGAGTTTGTGATGAAAATGAACAGGAGGGGCTTCTTAAGCTGGAGGTGCTGGATCGCTGTAGAGGAAAGTGGTGCAGTGATGGAGGGCGCCTCCCTGTCCTGCCTGCTGCTGGAGGTGCTGGATCGCTGTAGAGGAAAGTGGTGCAGTGATGGAGGGCGTCTCCCTGTCCTGCCTGCTGCTGGAGGTGCTGGATCGCTGTAGAGGAAAGCGGTGCAGTGATGGAGGGCGTCTCCCTGTCCTGCCTGCTGCTGGAGGTGCTGGATCGCTGTAGAGGAAAGTGGTGCAGTGATGGAGGGCGTCTCCCTGTCCTGCCTGCTGCTGGAGGTGCTGGATCGCTGTAGAGGAAAGTGGTGCAGTGATGGAGGGTGTCTCCCTGTCCTGCCTGCTGCTGGAGGTGCTGGACCGCTGTAGAGGAAAGTGGTGCAGTGATGGAGGGCGTCTCCCTGTCCTGCCTGCTGCTGGAGGTGCTGGATCGCTGTAGAGGAAAGCGGCGCAGTGATGGAGGGCGTCTCCCTGTCCTGCCTGCTGCTGGAGGTGCTGGATCGCTGTAGAGGAAAGTGGTGCAGTGATGGAGGGCGTCTCCCTGTCCTGCCTGCTGCTGGAGGTGCTGGATCGCTGTAGAGGAAACCGGCGCAGTGATGGAGGGCGTCTCCCTGTCCTGCCTGCTGCTGGAGGTGCTGGATCGCTGTAGAGGAAACCGGCGCAGTGATGGAGGGCGTCTCCCTGTCCTGCCTGCTGCTGGAGGTGCTGGATCGCTGTAGAGGAAAGCGGTGCAGTGATGGAGGGCGTCTCCCTGTCCTGCCTGCTGCTGGAGGTGCTGGATCGCTGTAGAGGAAAGCGGTGCAGTGATGGAGGGCGTCTCCCTGTCCTGCCTGCTGCTGGAGGTGCTGGATCGCTGTAGAGGAAAGTGGTGCAGTGATGGAGGGCGTCTCCCTGTCCTGCCTGCTGGTGGAGGTGCTGGATCGCTGTAGAGGAAAGTGGTGCAGTGATGGAGGGCGTCTCCCTGTCCTGCCTGCTGCTGGAAGTGCTGGATCGCTGTAGAGGAAAGTGGTGCAGTGATGGAGGGCGTCTCCCTGTCCTGCCTGCTGCTGGAGGTGCTGGATCGCTGTAGAGGAAAGCGGCGCAGTGATGGAGGGCGTCTCCCTGTCCTGCCTGCTGCTGGAGGTGCTGGATCGCTGTAGAGGAAAGTGGTGCAGTGATGGAGGGCGTCTCCCTGTCCTGCCTGCTGCTGGAGGTGCTGGATCGCTGTAGAGGAAAGCGGTGCAGTGATGGAGGGCGTCTCCCTGTCCTGCCTGCTGCTGGAGGTGCTGGATCGCTGTAGAGGAAAGTGGTGCAGTGATGGAGGGCGTCTCCCTGTCCTGCCTGCTGCTGGAGGTGCTGGATCGCTGTAGAGGAAAGTGGTGCAGTGATGGAGGGTGTCTCCCTGTCCTGCCTGCTGCTGGAGGTGCTGGACCGCTGTAGAGGAAAGTGGTGCAGTGATGGAGGGCGTCTCCCTGTCCTGCCTGCTGCTGGAGGTGCTGGATCGCTGTAGAGGAAAGCGGCGCAGTGATGGAGGGCGTCTCCCTGTCCTGCCTGCTGCTGGAGGTGCTGGATCGCTGTAGAGGAAAGTGGTGCAGTGATGGAGGGCGTCTCCCTGTCCTGCCTGCTGCTGGAGGTGCTGGATCGCTGTAGAGGAAAGCGGTGCAGTGATGGAGGGCGTCTCCCTGTCCTGCCTGCTGCTGGAGGTGCTGGATCGCTGTAGAGGAAACCGGCGCAGTGATGGAGGGCGTCTCCCTGTCCTGCCTGCTGGTGGAGGTGCTGGATCGCTGTAGAGGAAAGTGGTGCAGTGATGGAGGGCGTCTCCCTGTCCTGCCTGCTGCTGGAGGTGCTGGATCGCTGTAGAGGAAGGCGGTGCAGGATGGAGGGTGTCTCCCTGTCCTGCTGTGGAGGTGCTGAATCGCTGTAGAGGAAAGTGGTGCAGTGATGGAGGGCGCCTCCCTGTCCTGCCTGCTGCTGGAGGTGCTGGATCGCTGTAGAGGAAAGTGGTGCAGTGATGGAGGGCGTCTCCCTGTCCTGCCTGCTGCTGGAGGTGCTGGATCGCTGTAGAGGAAAGTGGTGCAGTGATGGAGTGCGTCTCCCTGTCCTGCCTGCTGCTGGAGGTGCTGGATCGCTGTAGAGGAAGGCGGCGCAGTGATGGAGGGCGTCTCCCTGTCCTGCCGTGGAGGTGCTGAATCGCTGTAGAGGAAAGCAGCGCAGTGATGGAGGGCGTCTCCCTGTCCTGCCTGCAGCCCGGGCACTGATCTTGTGTCTCTGCCAACTGCGTCGGATTCCTCAGTGCATCCTGGGATCCCTGTGCTCCTAGCCCCACAACCACAGCTGTGGCCAGAGTCATTTTACCATGAACCCCTCACCTCAATTTCCTGGCACCCTCCCCATTACAACTAAACATGAACCAAAGTCACTGAGTTTTCCTGATGCTGAAAGGGGAGAACTATCAGTGACATCATTCGTATTGGGCCAAATTAATCCCCAAAGAGGGAGGAGCCAGGCGTGTCTGGTGGAAAGAGTGGATGGAGAAGGTTTTAAAGGCACGAGACCTTCAGGGTGTACATGACCTCAGCACACTAACCTGGCTCTGAAGACCTCGTTTTAGTCAGTGTGGGCTGCCATAGCCCAGTTCCACAGATGGGTGACCTTAGTTCCACAGATGGGTGGCCTTACGCAGCACACAGATGGGTGGCCTTATGCAGCAGACATGCGTCCCTCGAGCTCTGGAGGCCGTAGCCCAATTCCACAGATGGGTGGCCTTATGCAGCAGGCATGCGTCCCTCGAGCTCTGAAGGCTGCAAGTGCAGGGTCAGGTGGTCAGTCTGGTGAGGGCCTGTCCTGCATTGCAGATGGCACCTTCTCTCTGTGTCTCCCTGTGGAGGAAGGGGTGAGGGTCTCCCTGCGGCCTCTTCTGTAAGGGCACAGACCCCGTCAGGCTGCACCCTCAGGACCTCATCACCTCTCAAAGGCCCCACCTTCCAACACGACTGCCTCGGGGGCTAGGATTTCAACACTGAACGTTTGGGGAGCCACGTTCAATCCACTGGGAATTTGACCCCAGACTTGGGGATGGGAGTTGCTAGGGACACTCCACTTTTAGGAATTAGGCCAAACTTTTCCATTACTATGGAAGTCACACTCTTCAAAAACTGGATTTAATTTCATTTTTTCTTCTATCTGTGCCTCTGCCTGGAGCACAGTCCTGGGGATGCCACCTGACCCTTGACCTTTGACCTGGCTTCCCAGCCTCCTCATCCCCCTCTCGCCTCCTCTGCTGCATGGCCACCCCTCCTGTTACCTGCTCTGTGCTTACCTCAGAGACCAAATCTCCCCATGCTCTGCCTCCCAGGCCCCTCACCTGGAGTGTCCCAAGGCCTCTCTGATGCCGCGTGCCCAGCGTGGGAGGAGGAGGTACAGACAGAACCCTCGGCGGCATCTGCAGAATGCATTCCATGTTCCCCTCACCTCATTCTCAGTCTTATCTGGAAACGCAAAACTATCCTCCTGGCTGAATGGTTTCCTGTTGTAGAGATTTTTATGTTTACCTGGACTGGGTCCAGTCTGCAGGCCTTGCCTGGGTGTTCTGAATCGGGGCTCGCCTCACTCTATGGCTCATTTCAGACGCAGCGTTTCCATCCCAGGAGAAAGAATGGAAGCCGTGATAACTCAGGTCACAAGAGTGGTTACGTTCCTGGAGTTCACGGAACCCCTCCAGCAGGTGCAGTTGTGTTTAACACCTAAACAAATATATAGGAAAAATGCAGTGTTAGGCAGGAAAACATTGAGCTGTGTAAGCAGTGGCCATTCACGTGGCTTTAATGTACAGAAGAGGCTCTTTGTTAGTTAAGAACTGAGGTTGTGAATCGGAGACTGAGTTCTTTATAAAGCTCACTTGTGTATGTGTGTCCCTGCCTTAACCACTTCTGGCCTTATGAGTCACCTTGGGAAAATTGGTGAATCTACATCCTCCTTGATTTCTTCATCTTTAACATTATAACAACAGGACTTTCTTCATAGGATGATTGTGAGGGCTAAAACCACTGCAGCATATAAAGTAATTTACACGGTGTTTATTACAAGGTGTGCAAGAATATGTGCCAGCTGGTTCTTTTTATCCTCGTTTTAAATGCAGTTGTTAGTAATCTATGTGTTATCCGTCCTCATTTCTCCCAAAAGTATTAAATATTTAAAGACGTATGCAGGAGTATGAAAAGAATCAGGATGCTTTTGTGAAAGGAGCCTAAGAATTCTTTGCACATCGTTGACCGGTCGTAAAGTAAGCCGCAGAAAAGCAGTGCCAGGAGGTGGAATTGCGCATCCTTGTGTCCGGTCCTCTCTTGAGAGTCGGCTTTTACTGCTTTTGTGGTTCTGTAAAGTCCGTAGCTTACGGTTGGCAGGAAACATTGACGGGCGGCTCTTTGAGCCAGCGCTTCTGTCATTCCTGTGCACACTCAGTCCTGTGACCTCCCAGTGTGGGACAAAGCTCCACTCACGTCTGCATTTTGGGGTGGAATTTAAGCACCGTCTGGACTAAGAAATCATTGCAGAGACGTTCGTTCCCAGGGATCTGAATGAAGTAGAAAAGTGCAGATGCTCAGGGATGATTCGTCCTGCTCTTGAGTGACACCAGGTCTTTCTCATCTTTGACTCAGGAGGTGCAGCCCACGGTGTGTGCAGCTTAGCACACCTGGGCAGGGCACAATCTGAGGGCACACGGAGGCCCATTAACACCAGCCGTGTATTCAGTGATCAGATTTTATGTGGGAAACATTTCTTGACCACCATTTAATACCATTCACTACACTGGAAAAAAGAAAAAAAAAAACCTTGCTGTGGATTATGTGATTAAATGATAACTTTCAAAAACATATTAAAACTTTCAAAAATGCATTAAAGTTGGAATGTAAGGCATTCTATTGACCAATACCAAATTCTACTGGTTTATAACCATTGATTTTGATTCCATGGGCTTTGAGATAGCCTGTTAGGTTATTGTCAATTTAGAGGAAACCTACATGGTTATGTCATTAGAAAGGTGGATTTGGATTTTAAAATGAAGGTTGATCCCTGGAAGAGGACCTGGAGGACTGTTGAACACAATGTGTGTTTCTCAAAAACGGGATGATTGCTCAGAATGTTCTCCATGTACATGGCGCCCATTCTGCCAGTCACCCAGCTTCATAGAGGTTAAATCGGAAGCATAGGCAGCAGTGGGTGGGGCCGTGCCACGCTCCATCCCCAGCACCAACTGGGAATACAGGCGGCATTTCCGTTGGAATCACCCCATCAGTATGGAAAGACACAGGAAACCAAAGCTCTGCTAAATGGAGGTGCAAGGCCTCGAGGCCATGACAGTGACCTCCTGGACACGGAAGCCTGTGATACACCAAGGCTCACACCGAGAGAAACGTGGGACCCAGCTTGTGAAGGACACTCTTCGACTGAACTGAGAGAAAAGGTGGAGACCAAGCCAGGCTTCTTATCTTAATTTTCTTCAGCTATAGGTAAAACCGCAAGTCTCTTATGCAAAATAGTTATAGAAAACTAAATTTTGAGAGATTAGGACTTAGTCCCAGTAAATTTAGCCTGTAAGAATCTTTTAGACTGTTTTATTTTTATAGACAATAAATCTATCTCTGTTTCAAATTGATTGTATTTTGAATTTTTAACAGTAACTTCACTCATTATGTAAAGTGAACTCTTAAAATGTGTTTGTTTTTTCAAACATGAGGAATTTGAGCCCATAATCAAGCCCATTAGACACACTTCACAGCACCTGTAACAGGCAGCTGCCTTGCTTCCCTGGACAGAAAGCAGGTGCCCTGCGTGCTGTCTGCCCTAAGGGAGAGGTGCGATGTATAAGTGTCCTTGTACATTCAGCACCACCCCAACTGTGTATTTTAAATCAGTGTTTACATTTTTATAGAGTTATTTTATCATCACTGAAAGAGGTTCTGCGGTGTTTTCTCCTAAGTTAATTCTGCATTTGCCCTTAACAACAAAACCAAACCAAACATACAAAATCTCTTCCAGTGATGATGAAATAGCTCTTGAACAGAAGCAAACAAAACATGCATTTATTTCCAAGCAGGAATTGAGCACCTACTGTGTGCACTTTCCAGGGTAGGAAGGATTCCTATAGGACTAACAGCCTGTCCAGCTGATGGCTGCTATGCCGAGGCCACGGATGGGTGGAGGACAGTCGGCCCCTGGCTGGTGTCCAGCGTCTGCTGCTGCAGGTGGGTGTTCGCTCCGGAAGTGGAGGAGCCGCCCATGTGACTCTAATCAACAGCATTGTTGGTGTGGGAGGGAGAGTCACGGCAGACAGCCTTTGAGCTCGTCCGCTCCGCCACGAATCCGTTTCCCCACGGTATCCACCCTGGAGTCCTGCAGCTTCCACACAAGCTCCTCAGGCCTGTTGGAGTGTGGGCCTGTGCAGCCGCAGCTGGGGAAGCTGAGCTTGGGTCTCCACCAAAGTTAGGGCTTGAAGGTAGCACTGGCCTGTTGCGGTCAGCCTTGGTGTCTGTCCTCTGGTGGAATTAATCATTTCCTCTGAGACATGATTATGTTTTACAGTCAACTTGTATAAAATATAAACAAGTTCCCTGGTGATTCTTCTGCTCATACTGGTGCCGCTATTAAAGTTCTGCTGGGTGTAAGCGAGGGCACTTTGCTGCATTCTGTGGCACCAAACACCGCTCTGCTGGGCAGGTCGGACTCCATTCTAAAAATGAGGAAGAGAGCCTGAGAGGCTGGCAGCCTCCCGCCTCGTGCAGGGGATGAAGCCTCCCGCCTCGTGCTGGGGATGAGACAGCACCTGCAGTGTCCAGGCCTTTCTGCGACTCAAGGCTGGGGTCTGAGTGTCTGAGTGCTGCACTGTGTGGACTGAGTGCTGTACCATGTCTCAGATCTCAGCTAGTGCTTCTGTCATTCCCGTGCACACTCAGCCCTGTGACCTCCCAGCGTGGGATGAAGCTCCACTCACGTCTGCACTTTCGAGCTGGCGGGGGGCCCTCGTGGTCATGGACTGTGAATTACCCATGTTCACATGTGTGCTTAAAATGTGGCTTTGACATTTACAAAATATGGTTCTCTTAGGATCAGAGAACATGGACTGCAAGGCCGGCTCTGGCCCTGATCCATCTGGTTTCTGGCTGTGGTTCCCTGCTGGGGGGAGGAGCGCCTCTCTCTCACCCAGGCCCCGTTCAGCACAGCTGTCCAGCCCCTGGGAGACCCTCAACTTCCACTGCCATGGTCCATGCCTGCACACCCAGGCTCTTGCCCACCTTGGAGGGCCTGCTCTGGGCTTCCTTTTATCAACAGATCTCAACATTTTCTCACGTTACTTAGAAATTACTGCTGTGTCCCGGGCCCTGAGCCACTTGGTTTTAGGAAGCTGTGGACTAAAGGGACAGGAGCCGACTTTGGTGTTGGGTAAAAGCGCGGCCACGGCTTCTGTTGCTCCGTTCGTTGTCAGGTGTGCAGCCTCCACCCATGTTCCATTTGATAGTCCAGATAATTTTCACTCTGGATTCATGCAGGCTACTGTGTCCAGAATTGGTGGGTTCTTGGTCTCACTGACTTCAAGAACGAAGCCGCGGACCCTCGCGGTGAGTGTTACAGCTCTTAGGGCAGCGCGTCTGGAGTTTGTTCCTTCTGATGTTTGGATGTGTTCAGAGTTTCTTCCTTCTGGTGGGTTCGTGGTCTCGCTGGCTCAGGAGTGAAGCTGCAGACCTTCGCGGTGAGTGTTACAGCTCTTAAGGCGGTGCGTCTGGAGTTGTTTGTTCCTCCTGGTGGGCTCGTGGTCTCTCTGGCTTCAGGAGTGAAGCTGCAGACCTCTGTGATGAGTGTTACAGCTCATAAAAGCAGCGTGGACCCAAAGAGTGAGCAGTAGCAGGATTTATTGCAAAGAGCAAAAGAACAAAGCTTCCACAGTGTGGAAGGGGACCGGAGCGGGTTGCCACTGCTGGCTTGGGCAGCCTGCTTTTATTCTCTTATCTGGTCCCACCCACATCCTGCTGATTGGTAGAGCCTAGTGGTCTGTTTTGACAGGGTGCTGATTGGTGCGTTTACAATCCCTGAGCTAGATACAAAGGTTCTCCACGTTCCCATCAGGTTAGATACAGAGTATTGACACAAAAGTTCTCCAAGGCCCCACTAGAGTAGCTAGATACAGAGTGTCCATTGGTGCATTCACAAACCCTGAGCTAGATACAGGGTGCTGATTGGCGTGTTTACAAACCTTGAGCTAGATACAGAGTGCCGATTGGTGTATTTACAATCCCTGAGCTAGACATAAAGGTTCTCCAAGTCCCCACCAGACTCAGGAGCCCAGCTGGCTTCACCCAGTGGATCCGGCACCGGGGCTGCAGGTGGAGCTGCCTGCCAGTCCCGCGCCGTGCGCTCGCATTCCTCAGCCCTTGGGTGGTCGATGGAACTGGGCGCTGTGGAGCAGGGGGCGGTGTTCATTGGGGAGGCTCGGGCCGCACAGGAGCCAATGGAGGGGGTGGGAGGCTCAGGCGTGGCGGGCTGCAGGTCCTAAGTCCTGCCCCGCCGGAAGGCAGCCAAGGCCCAGTGAGAAATTGAGTGCAGCGCCGGTGGGCTGGCACTGCTGGGGGACCCAGTACACCCTCCGCAGCCGCTGGCCCGGGTGCTAAGTCCCTTATTGCCCGAGGCCGGCAGGGCCGGCTGCTCCGAGTGCGGAGCCCGCCAAGCCTACGCCCACCCGGAACTCCAGCTGGCCCGCAAGCGCCGCACGCAGCCCCCGTTCCCGCTCGTGCCTCTCCCTCCACACCTCCCTGCAAGCTGAGGGAGTGGACTCCAGCCTTGGCCAGCCCAGAGAGGGGCTCCCACAGTGCAGCGGTGGGCTGAAGGGCTCCTCAAGTGCTGCCAAGGTGGGAGCCCAGGCAGAGGAGGCGCCGAGAGCGAGCGAGGGCTGTGAGTACTGCCAGCACGCTGTCACCTCTCACTACCAGGATACAGCATTGTTTTAATGATGATGTTTTATTCTTTGAAATGGAAAAAGGAAACAAAGATCAGTGAGCAAACTTAGGCATGCTGTTGTGTTATGATGACCTGCCTGGTATATCAGACACAATTTTATAAACAGATGGCGCGGGCAGCCAGGATCAGAGGGACGGGCACTGGAAACTTGGATGTCTGGGGGCCGGGACTCAGGAGCAGTTTACAGAGAAGAAAAGGCCGATGCTGAAGCCGAGAAGATTTCGGGACAGTTCTGTGAGTGATGCCTTCACCTGGATGAAAAGCGAAGTCCCATTGTGATCACAGATCACCCTCTGTCCTGCCTGCTGCTGGGGGTGCCCACCTGGGTGGTCGAGGCCAATTGGTTGGTCTCGTTTGATCTCAGATAACCAAGAAGAAGCACTGAGCCCCTGGATGCTGGTTGTGCATCCCTGGAGTAAACGCAGATAACCATTCCACCTTGTGGGCAGCGCAGTGCCCAGATCCATGGGTCCCACCTTACGGATAGCACAGTGCCCTGGTCGACAGCGTGGGGCGCCAGACATTCCCAAGCCTAGGCCCGGGCCCCACACTCAGCAGCTCTTCAGCCCGGCCAGTGGCACAAGCCCCCGCTACCTACTGTCCTGTACCCTGTGCAGTTGAAATGACAGTGCCTCTTCCATAGGGTCACTGCAGGGGTGAAATAGATCTGAAACATAAGTTACTTAGGATAATGACAGTGCCTCTTCCGTAGGGTCACTGCGAGGGTGAAATAGATCCGAAACGTAAGTTACTTAGGATAATGACAGTGCCTCTTCCATAGGATCACTGCGAGAGGGAAATAGATCCGAAAGGTGAATTACTTAGGATAATGACAGTGCCTCTTCCATAGGGTCACTGCGAGGGTGAAATAGATCCGAAAGGTGAATTACTTAGGATAATGACAGTGCCTCTTCCATAGGGTCACTGCGAGGGTGAAATAGATCCGAAAGGTGACCTACTTAGGATAATGACAGTGCCTCTTCCATAGGGTCACTGCGAGGGTGAAATAGATCTGAAAGGTGACCTACTTAGGATAATGACAGTGCCTCTTCCATAGGGTAACTGCGGGGGTGAAATAGATCCAAAAGGTGAATTACTTAGGATAATGACAATGCCTCTTCCATAGGGTCACTGCGGGGGTGAAATAGATCCGAAACGTGAATTACTTAGGATAGAGCCTGGCACAAAGCCAGCTCGTAATGAGTGATGGCCTTTATTTAGTTCTCTGTTGTTGTTACAGCTACTGCTGCCACTATCATATATGACCAGTTCTTATAATCAGGTGACATGCCCCGCAGTGTGGGTATGAAAGGAAGCACAAGCCATTCAATGCAGCACTGTGCCCTCGCTCCAGATGGTCCCCAGTGGAGAGGAAAATGATCATGAGGATGTGCTAAATGTGCATATGCCAGCCATGAGCTCCTCCCTTCACCTCCCTCCTCTGTTTCCTTCTTACAGCCCAGTGGTGTGAGCCCATTGTCAGATGAGGGAACCCCACAGCGTGGCTGAGATAGGGTGGAGTCAGTCCTACCAGCAGGCAGCAGGCAGAGGGGAGTGTAGACACCACCTTCCCGTGACAAACCCAGGTGCTGGAATCCTGCTGGGTCTTCTCAAACATTTACTCACAAAGCAAACACTCACGTGTGCCTACTGAGTGCCAGGGCTGTTAGTGCTGGCCGTGGTGGAATGAACAAATGCAGGACGCCCTCTGTGCTGAGGCCCTCAGCAAACACACAGGCTCGTGATGGCTCCACGGCAAGATGCATGGACGTGCACAGCATTCCTGAAGGCTGCTTCCTGTTCTTCCCATCCATAGGGAGGCCTTCAGGGAGTCCCTGGACATCGTGCTCCAGTGCCCCACTCACTGGCCTCAGCATGGCCTGCACGGATGGGGCCTCCTGCCTCTCCTGCTTCTGCAGCACTGCCCGGGGAAGTGAGGGGCTCAGAAGACCCAAACCCTGTTCTCATGAACCAATGGGAAGTGACAGAGAAGGGTGAGGAGGTGCCCTGTGAGACACCACAGGGGAGAAATTCTCTTTCTTGGACCTATTGAACTTTTCTTTGTCTCGAGTGAACACTTTATTTGTGGCCTGAATTTCTGGTAAAAATGACTTTTTTTTTTCCCCTGAGACGGAGACTTAGTTGCCCAGGCCAGAGTGCAGTGATATGATCTCGGCTCACTGCAACCTCCGCCTCCCAGGTTCAAGGGATTCTCCTGCCTCAGCCTCCCAAGCAGCTGGGACTACAGGCCCGCCACCATGCCTGGCTATGTTTTGTATTTTTAGTAGAGACGGGGTTTCACCATGTTGGTCAGGCTGGTCTTGAACTCCTGACCTCAGGTGATCTGCTGGCCTCAGCCTCTCAAAGTGCTGGGATTACAGGCATGAGCCACCATGCCCAGCCCACCATGACTTTTTAATGAACAAGTTACTACATAGTTCCTGAACTTAAATTAGCCCTCTTTATTAATATTTAATATGGACTATTTAGAAATGCCACTGCATGACAGGGAAGTAGAAAAAATATATTTTTCTAAATTGTACTAAAAAATAATATACTACAGAGACAGTTTTAAAATAAAATATGTGAACGAAATTTCAAGATTTTTCAAATTCTGAAACATACACGTTCTGTTTTTGTCTCGAGTACTCGTAATTTTCAGTCATGAGCTAAAATACACACACATGCACACACACACACATGCACACTCTCCTTATTTTCCAAAGCATGAAGGCTTAAAGTAAACAGGCATGTGTGCAATGCACACCTTTCCTCTCTGTTACCACAGGCACAGAGGGAGGTGGTGGCCAGAGCCGACAGGGAGTGACAGGCTGTGGTTGTAATGAAGGCCACCAGCCATCATTTATGGATGAAAGCTTCCTTGGTTAAATTTTGTACGTTCCAATGTATTTATTCTTTAAAAACTGGACAGCTTATTAAAAAGGCGATTTACACATTTTGACTTTCTCCGGCATTGAAGCTTTGACGAGCAATTAAGAATTCTCAGTTTTTAGGGTCAAATTTTATAGTTACTGGAATCCCACAGCACAAGGGAAGCAGAAGGTTGGAAGAGTGGTCATTGGTAGCGGATGTAGCAGGGGTCTCGGTTTGGGGCTTTAATGACAACTGCTAATGCTCTGTGATTGGTTTCCGCTGAAACAGATGATTTGAAAAAGGGTCAAATCTGTTGAGGTGTGTTTTGTGACAGGAAGATTCCCAGCGGTGTGGGCGGGATTCGGAGGCCTTTCTGCATGTGGACAGGAAGACCGCAGCGAAGGCAGGCAGTGTGACCGGGCACATGAGAGCTGGGCTGTGGGGCTTTTCCCGGCAGGAGCCGCAGGGTGCAGGGTTGAGGCTGGCACTGAGCCCACAGTCAAGAGCGCAGGAAGAACGGCTTAAACAGACTGGCTGTCCTCCACAGGAGGTGGAGACCTGAGCACGTAACTTCAATTCCTTAATGTCCTAATACGTTAAGACATGTGCTTTGAACGTTATTGGAATAAATTTATTTCTCTTAGCCAAAAACTGAATTGATTCACTTTCTAGAGTATAAGTCTATTTTCAGTTTTCTCTTTGGAATTGAAAAATTCTCTAAGGGCACGAGGAAACCCTGGGAGGAGGGTAGACTTTTCAAAAGTGCCGACACAGTCAGTGCTTGACTTCCCCATGGATGGCGAGTGTCTGGGAGCTGGTTTGGTTTCTTCTCGGTGGACCCCGGGGTGCCAAGCGCTCTGCCTTCACTTGGTGTGGCTTTGCTTACAGCAGCTTCCTACAATCTCATGTGTGTCCATCAAAGAGCATGTTAGCTCCTGAGCAGCAGATGCTCTGTGAATTTTAGCTCCGATAATGACCTTGGCCACGTGAACACCATCCTAAAAGGCCTGAGCGGCCACCATGAGGCGGGTAGAGAGGCCGGGTTCCAACTGTGAGCCACGGAGGAAACTCGGAGGAAACCGTGAAACTCGGAGGAAACAAAGGCCCAGAAATGCCCTGGAAGAAGCGGCTCCTGATCTTGCATCCAGACGTGCCTGAAAGCAGATTGCGTGACTTACACTAGTTACCCGGCTTCTATAACAATAAACCAAACAGTGAACCAACAGTGAGCCACGCTGTGAACTTTCTTTCCCTGTTTCATTAACATGTTAGTATCTGCCATCAGCATTCATGTCAACAACTTTCACAGTTTCTGTTCATTTGATACTTAATTTTTATTGCTTTCTTTGATAAATTACAGACTAATAATGTTTATATGGTACTTACGGGCTTACAAATAACTTTGTTTCAGTTATCCCATTTGTTCCTCTCAGTATTCCTATTTTGTGGTACGGTTGGCATTTGAAGCCCATCGTACGGACAAGGAAAGCCCAGCTCAGAGGTGAGATGTCCAGCCTGCCTCATGAAGCTATGGCATAAACGTGCCTGGACTGCAGACGCCTTCCTTTTTATTGCAGGACACAGCCGTCTGCCCCTCGTGCGAGTCCGTGAGCCTCTGGGGCTCCACGTGCATTCACTGCCTCAGGGGGCAAAGCTGATGATCTTTCTCAAGACCACAGCATCGATAAAGGGTCCTTCATGGAGCCTGGGTCCACTGTCTCTACTCACATCTTATTCCTGCTACATCAATGATGGTGTAAACCTCCAAAGGCAGAGTTAGGACTCTGGACTCAGATTCCTTCTCACCACTGACTTTACGAGGATGACCACAGTACTGACCCTGCTGAGAGCACCCAGTGTTCAGTCATCCATGCATTTGGTGCATACGTCACCAACCCTGAGAATCAGGAAATGCCAACTCCCTGAGAAGACACTGTCGTTAGTACATGTGAGCTGGAGCCAAGCGGTGACCATGCGTGTCCTTCACACGCCCTCACGCGCAACCAGGGACCCCCAATTCATGAGAGGGGGGACCCCTGCCCCCATGCTGCCCTGAGGTCCCTGCAGGCCCCACCAGGCACCCCCGATTCATGAGAGGGGGCGCCCCTACCCCACTCTGCCCTGAGGTCCCTACAGGCCCCACCAGGCACCCCCGATTCATGAGAGGGGGCGCCCCTACCCCATGCTGCCCTGAGGTCCCTGCAGGCCCCACCAGGCACACCCTATTCATGAGAGGGGGGCCCCTGCCCCACGCTGCCCTGAGGTCCCTGCAGGCCCCACCAGGCACCCCCGATTCATGAGAGGGGGGACCCCTGCCCCACGCTGCCCTGAGGTCCCTGCAGGCCCCACCAGGCACCCCCGATTCATGAGAGGGGGCGCCCCTACCCCATGCTGCCCTGAGGTCCCTGCAGGCCCCACCAGGCACACCCTATTCATGAGAGGGGGGCCCCTGCCCCACGCTGCCCTGAGGTCCCTGCAGGCCCCACCAGGCACCCCCGATTCATGAGAGGGGGGACCCCTGCCCCACGCTGCCCTGAGGTCCCTGCAGGCCCCACGAGGCACCCCCGATTCATGAGAGGAGGCACCCTTACCCCCACGCTGCCCCAGGATCCCTGCAGGCCCCCTAGTCTAGCTGGATCCAGGAAAAGCTGCCCCTGGCCCACACTGGCACCACCCCCTGTTCCTCCCCAGGCCTTTGGAGAAGAACAGGCTCTTCTGAAAGAATAAAAGCGTAGAGCTCTGAGATGGGGAAAATTGGAGGATGGGACACAGGGAACTTTTGAGGATTCTTCTAAAGTCTGTTTTTGGTCTGAGAGTTGGTTGGCCAAGAGTATGGAATACATGACTGTTTATCGAGGTGTTCACTGGTGAGTTGTGTGCGTGTGTGTGTGTCCTGTAGCTCAATGTAAAATATGCCTAAAAATAATAGTCTCTGACCTCTTCATGTGGGGAGCCAGGGAACTTGGCTGTCGTCCGCAATAATCTACTTGACCCAGCTGTTTATTAACCACTAGATTAAGGTCAGCCTTGCTTTGTATATGTCGCACCAGTTAACATGAACAAATGAGAAATGATGGCAATGAACCCATTTTTAGTTAGCACTTACTTTAATAAGAATTAATGGATACTTGGACAAAAGTGTAGATATAAGTCTGTCAATATTTAATAAGCACCTAATTCATGTGGAATATTACACAATCTGCCTAAAATAGTCTCCCAGCATTTTGAAGTGTAAAAATTAATTTATTATAGCAGACATCCAGGACCAAAGGCCCCACGGGAAGCGATGGATCCTGAGGGACAGGTGCTCCCCAGGAGGACCAGGAAAGGTGATCAGAAAGGGCTGTGCGAAGGTGGAGGCAGAGCTGCCTGCCCTCCCCATGCAGGGGACCTGCTTCCTCTGGCTTCTTCCCCTCTCCGGCTCCACACAGTCACCTCCACCTTCACCTCTGTCCTCCTGCCAAGTCAAGAGTACCTTGTTCATCGCCATCAGGCAGAATATCAGCCACAAGTAGATAAACCTCACATTCTGATTCAAGAAACACTAATTAGAATGAGAATGACCCCTAGACAGGGATGTCAGCTTTTTAAAAGAATGACTTTTAAAATAGCAAACTCTGGTCTGATAGATTTGGCTCAAAAATATGCAGAACTGTGTTATACCATCTCTGTTTCCTACCCCTTCTCCTACACACCCCACCTTGCCTAAGAAAGCAGCGATGACACTCACATTTGAAAGATTATTAGAACATAGCTTAGTGATGACTTATTTTTTTAAAAAAATATGTTTGCTTTGTTCTGTATTTTATCTTCAGTTAGCTGCTTGAGACCATGGAGGTATTATGAGTCATATACATTAATATGCATTGTTTTCTTTTTTTCTTTTTTTTTTCAGATAGGGTCTCACTCTGTTGCCCAGGCTGGAGTGCAGTGGTGTGATCTCGGCTCACTGCAACCTCTGCCTCCTGGGTTCAGGAGATTCTCCTGCCGTAGCCTTCCGAGTAGCTGGAGCTACAGGTGTGTGCCACCATGCCCGGCTAATTTTTGTATTTTTCGTAGAGATGGGACTTCACCATGTTGGCCAGGCTGATTTCGAACTCCTGACCTCAAGTGATCCACCTACCTCAGTCTTCCAACGTCCTGTGATTATAGGCGTGAGCCACTGCGCCCGGCCAATATGCACTATTTTCTTAAGAAAAAGTCTATAAAAGTGTACATGACATTTCTCTTTTGCAAATAGGCATATGTAAAGTATGTTTTTAAAAAATATTGCATGACAGGGAAGAACTACTGAATTTGAGACGGTTGGTTGTTAATACTTTGCCATGATTGAGTTCTCAGCAAGTGGAGTGTCATGGAGCAGTGGAAGGGGACTATGTTCTCCCAAAGCTCCCCTGTCAATCAGAAGCACACAGGTGGTCCTAGAGAAGGGTGGATGCTGAGTGCAGAGGGTGCTGGGCTGCTCCAGCCTCACCCCATCAGGAGCTTTAAGTGCTCCATCCAAAGGGTCTTCGAAAGAATAACCAGTAAGAATCCTGCAGACAATAACTCCAGAATTTCAGGAGCACTGTTCTTTCCTTGACAAAGTGCTTTTCATGTTTCATCGAATTAGAAGTAGCTCCTGTTACCAAGGGAATTCGGGGTTTGGTCTTGGTCTCAGCGAGCCTGCTGACTGTACTGAGGCGCCTGAGGAAGTGGTGCAGTTGCCCCATGTCCTGGGTCCAGGGTAGAGCCCTGCTGAGCATCAGCCTCGAAACTCACGGAGGCAGGCCCGCTCCCGTCGCTGCGGGGCCTCCTGGACAGCTCTCTCCCTCCCCAGGTGGAATGCGTTCGAGGTGCTCGCCCTGGACGGAGTCAGCTCTGGGATCCTCCGGTTTTACACAGCCCAGGATGGCACCGACTGGCTGCGGGCGGTCTCAGCCAACATCAGGGAGCTGACACTTCAGAACGTGAGCACACGGTGTTTCTGAGTCTCTGCTGATGCTCATTCGTGCATGAAAAATAATGGAGACATCATGTTTCTGATGATTTATGATTAACCCGAAACAGAAAATCATGTACTTGTTTCAATGTGTCAAATCTATGTCTAAAAACATTAAAAATGAAGCCATCAGAATGTTTCCAAATCAAAGAGTAAGGCAATGTCTAACAGCTGAGAATTTCCCATCTGGTTTTGTCTTCCTCCTCCCCTCTGTCTGCCTCTGTCTCTCTCCCTCCCTTCCTCTCTCTTTCTCTCCACACACATATACAGAAATAGTTATATGTCATAATTTTATATTTTACCCAAATGCATTGATACAGTGTGACATTTTGAGTTGGGGAAACCTAATTGAGTTAAAAGTATAATTCTCCCAAACATTATGAAGATTTAGAAAAAGGCATAATTGAGCAAAAACATTACTTCTCAAATTTGTACTGCAGTCCCCCAGAAACGAAAAAGTATTCTGTCCCCTTAAGTGATGTTTGATATTAAAAGTCAACAGGATTTTAAAAATTAAAGAAATGAAAAGAGATGGGGTGGGAACGAAGACTTGATGACACGGGCGTTGCCTGGAGTGATGGGTGCCTGGACTCGGACATGGAGCCGTGGCCGCAGCCCTGGCAACTGTGGCAGGACTGGCCGTGCCTGGAGGCGGCCCTGGACCAGCCTTGCTGCCCTTGCTCCCTCTAAGCTGAGTTGCCCTGTAATTGCACTTCGATCCCTGCTCTGTTCCTTCGCAGCCTGGAGGCTGCAGAGGCTGGGTCCAGCTTGCAGACTGGCCAGGCGTGGCCCACCCTGCGGCCCTGCAGATGCACCCGCCCTGCCCCTGCCCTGCCCACCACCTCACGTCTCCCTTGCAACCTCCCTTCTTCCTGTGGCTGCAAAACAGAAGTTAACCTAACACTGGGGGAAGCAGCAATGTGTGACATTTCTCCTGTGAAGACCTCAGGGGCTTCCTTTCTGCAAGCAGAGAAGGAAGTACCAGGACCTTCCTAACATTGTAGTTTTCAAACGCAACACTTTAAATTCCAAAGTTATCTCAATAAATAGGGAAGAAAGGATGGTGCTTGACTTATATTTGCAGAAATGTTTGTGACGAGGAGCGCCCTTCAGTTCTGTCATTTCACAAATCAGCCCTCATAGGCAGGGCAGAGAAGTCAGACACCCCAATATTTCAGAACAGAAATGTGGACTCTGAGCTGCCTCCCGGCTGTGTGGCTGTGGGCTGTGGGAACATTATGATTCTGCACCTCCACTTCCTCGGTGAAATTTTGGAAAACAACATCTACCTCCATAGGTCATTGGGAGAACTAAATAAAAGAAAGAATATCAACTGTGATCACCGTAATTACCATCACAGTAATACTGACTCTCACAAGGTTATGTAGAGCAGAAATCATTTCCTCACTTTTCTCAGATATTGGAATTTAAGCACCTGCTCTTGAAGTGTAACTTCACTTACATAAATGCTGATATTTGAAAAAGAGGAATTGAAGCCTGCTAGTAAAGTTGTTTTCTACTGCTGCCATGTTTGTATTGACTCTGGCTAGGTCTTCAGATAGGAAATATGTCATTAAAGAGGCCTGTTTCCCAGGACAGAGCGTGGCTGATGACTTCCAGCTGTCACTCAGGTGAGCCATCCTGGTGTTGGTGGCTGTGGCCCTGACTCTTCTGCCTTCTCTCCACAGATGAAGATGGCGAACAAATGCTGCTCTCCTTCCGACCAGGTAGGGTTTGTATTTTCTGCTTCATGATGTAACACATCAGGTAGGGTTTGTATTTTCTGATTCATGATGTAACACATCTCGAAAAGCAGTCTCTGGTTTTTTGAAATTTGATTTGAAAATGTTGATAGGAAAACATTAGCACATTTCAGACTGCATTTGGTGGTCTCTGCCCTGCCTGTTAATTCTATAAAACTGCTCTTTCTGTGGGAATAGCATAGGTCATTCTGATCTCCTGTGTATAGATTATTTCTCTATTGGCAGTTATGTTTTGTAAAGAATCGTGATTTAAATGATGATTTAGATATGATTGTTTAAACTGAGAAGGGCTTTGAGATGACACACCTGTGTAATTTGAAATTTTAAGCATTATATTATTTTCTTAAATAAAATCCTTACTAGGAAAGCTTCATTCTCAGGAGGGCTTTGGCCCAGTGGGTGTTATTGCCAGTGGGTAGGATCCTGTCATCCCCAAATCCAGGCAGTTTGTTCACCTGGAGCCCAGAGCCCTTAACGTTGTCCTGGATTCAGGATAGCTACCTTTGTAGCCACCCTCAGGCCTGATTTTCTGCTCACTTCCCACGTCTATGAGTACTTAGGAAAACTCTATGGTAATCAAGCTGTTTCAATATCAGCCAAATCAGTTTTTAAGCCACTGTGTTATTCTTCTGTTTCCTTTATAATAAACTTATGATTTAACTTGTAATGTAAGGGAGTATGTTATTTATAGTTCATTCATTTTCTGGTTACATCTCTTAGGGGCGTAAGGAAGCATGCATCATAGCCTCAAGTTAAGAAAACTGAGAAAAACATGTTCGCTTTGCTTTAAATAGCGCACAAAAGACTTTAAATAGTGCTTAGCAAGAATATTTGAATTCACGATGGAGGACTTGAGAAGAGCAGGTCCTCTGCCTATGAAATATTTACTAAAACAATGGGAAAATAGGGCTGTGTTTTAAATTAAACCTCTCTAGTCAACATTTCTACATTAGAAAAGAAACACTAAGAATAAATGGTTCTTCTAACTTTTATCTCTTTTAATATTATTCTAAAATTACCATCAACTATTTTTGTTTACATAGATATTTTATGATTAATATTTCTATAAATTCTTCAAATTAATATAGGATTCATTTCATATTCTTATACATAAAATATCATTTCCCTACTATGTGTTTTTGAAACAGAAGTTCTGAAACTTTTCCACAAAGTACATATCTCTCTATGGTTCACACAGGAAACAGCCTTTATCAAGGCTGGTGGGACAGTGGGCCAAAGTTTTGACATGATCTCTATGAATAATTTACCATTTTGAAATTGCATCTTATTCACACACGCAAAATTAGCAAAATGTTTCCTGAGATCCTCTTTATGGCAAAGCTGAGACTCTTCCGAGATCTTAGGAGGAGCCGCAGCTTCTGGTATTTCTCAGTGTTGGCTGCTTCTTCCCTGTTTCTCAGTTTGTTCGTCATGAGGACAGCCGTCCTCTCCCGACCCTCAGAGGGGTTGTCACCTTGCAGACAGATCCTTGATGCTAAACAGTGATGTCCGCAAGTGGAGAGCATACGTGGGAATGGGCAGCATTTATGGACTTGGCCTTTACGTGTTTCAGAGAAATGCTGACTTTTGTAGCTATACTGGAATTACTCCTCATGTTGGAAAGAGCACTGCTCCGGAGAGGAAAGCATTTTCTTTTTTTTTTATTATTATTATTATACTTTAAGTTTCAGGGTACATGTGCACAACGTGCAGGTTAGTTACATATGTATACATGTACCATGTGGTGCGCTGCACCCAGTAACTCATCATTTAACATTAAGTATATCTCCAAATGCTATCCTTCACCCTCTCCCCACCCCTTAATCCTCCTTATCATCAACTGACAAGAGAGAATGATGAAATAATGGTTCAGAGAAATGTAAAAACCTGTAGGGAGCACAGTTTCCGCTATGGAGCACATTGAAGGAGCATCTTCCAGAGACCTCAGAGGCAGTGGGCGGCCTTGTTTTTGCTTCATCTCAGTGAAATTCTCCCACATATTAAGCCTTGTGTATTTCACATCGATCTTGGTGGCCTTGTTTGACAAAGCAAAAAGCCAAAGGCAAACCCTGGACCTGATAACCCTGACCAAACCCTTCTCTGGTGTTGTAATTTTAACAAATTCACTCCTGAGGCTTAATTTCTTTATCTGTAATATAAGAAAGTTGTACTGGGTAATTTAAGGTCCTTTTTACAACCTTAAAAGTCCTATACAACTTTGAATTTACTTAGCAGCTTGGAGTAGTTTATTTGGAAATTGATCTTAGAGCTGAGCTTCATTATGTAGGATGATGAAGAACTAGCCCTGCTATATCCGGATGCGCTTTTGGTGGAGGATGGTTTCACGTTTTCTCCAAAAGTGGTGTGCTTTGTACAAATGTTAGGAGTTTAAATTTAAGACATTAGGCCCTTTAAAACAGAAAGAAAATTTTTTTTCACTCTGAACAATTCATTCTTGATTTTGGTATTTAACAAATAATTGTGAGATAATTGTTAATGTGAAAAATGCGAATTTTATGTCAAAAAAATTTATGTGAAAGGATAAATAAAGGTGTTTAACAACCACTGAAATTGGCAAACAAAAACACACAAAAAACAGAATTAGGAGAATACTACAAAAAGCATAATGTATGCATTTTTAGACTCTCATATCTGGTATATAAAATAACCAAATAATTTATCATACAAACCAGAGCACTTTTGTCTGGGACAAAGACTAACCTGAAAACATTACCAAGATAACTGCAAACAAACATATGCTCACCCCACCAAATAGCAAGCAGCCCTATTTCTTTCCAAATTAAACTTATTTTTGAATAACCTGAATTTTAATTTAGGTAGCTATTGATGATGCCTTAATTGCCAAATCTCCCTGACCCCCTGCAGAAAACCCTAAATAACACAGGTAATTCTGGCTTTTTCTAGCTAAAGGAAAAGACCAGCTGCATGTTATCATCTGGTGGACGCTTAACTAATTATCTTGACTGATGGGGTGAAAAGAAGAGGACTCTCTTATAGAAATGGTATCAGAAAAGATAAAAAATATATTTCTTTATTATAATGGTTATGACATCCTTATTAAGGTGGTACAGTCAGGGAGATGTTTCTAAAAGTATAATACACACTTCTTGGAATGTGTAATTAGAAAATTCATAATGTAGAAGATAAAATTAGCTTTGCTTAAAATTATTTATGAACTGCATATACCTAAGAAAGATTCAGAAAGCATCCGATGTTTCCAACAATAGCAAAGCTATAACGTATTTCTTTGCTAAATCTAGCATAATTCAATTACTTGTGTGATTTAATTAAGCTCATGCAACTAACAGGCATTTCAGATTACTGGCGGTCTATTATTGCCATCTTGGGCCAACAGTAGCTCTTTATTCACTCCTTAATACATAACTCTCCTTGAACTTTGTGCCAAACACTGTGTCAACCCGATATAGAAAAGAAGAAGAGCCCAACACTGTCCCAGCCCAGGGGGAAGAAAGAGCAAGCAGCCCTGGGGAAGGGAGGTGGGTGTACAGCTCATGGGGCCTCCCAGGTCTGGGTGCTCGGATTCCAGCTGGTACCTGCAGCTCCTCAGAAACAGAGTAACTCTGCTCAATCAGAATTAGATGGTAATTCCACCCTTGATCAAGTTCTCCTCCAAAAAGAAGGCTTGCTGCTGCCATGCTGGAAAAAGAATCCCAAGTTCTCTATTTTAGCCAAGATTCAAGAATGCATACTTTCAACTTTCTACTCGCCCTTGATCTACCTGTAATGTAAATCAATCTCTCACCCATCTGTCCTCTGTATTTAGATATTCCTGAGTGTTACGGCCGTTAGATTAAGTTCCTGCACATCAGTTTCCTATTCATAGTTCATCCCTTGTGAAATCTAAATTGCAGCGCATGATTAAGTGTTTCGTGAACAGAACGAGTAAGATCAAGGAAACTCGACAGTATGTGAACACGTGATTTAAAAAATGAGGGAGCCGAGGTGGGCAGATCAGGAGGCCAGGAGTTGAAGACCGGACTGGCCAACATGGTGAAACCCCGTCTCTACTAAAAATACAAAAATTAGCCGGGCGTGGTGGCACGCGCCTGTAATCCCAGCTACCTGGGAGGCTGAGGCAGGAGAATCGCTTCAACCCTGGAGGCGGAGGTTGCAGTGAGCCAAGAGCGTGCCACTGCACTCCAGCCCGGGCGACAGAGCAAGACTCTGGCCTGGGGCCAGGGTGGTGGTGGGGGTGGCTGGGGAAGTGGAGGAAGTAAAACCAGCAGAGTTTGCCCTGCAGGCAAAAGAAAAACATCACTTTAAATCTCTCTACCCCGTATGAATCTAATTAGGCTGTGACCCTTAGAATTTCTCATCAGAACTAGTATTTGTTTCGTGAATTTTAAAGACTCTCAGACCACGTTGGCAGGGACCTGCAGAAGGGGATGTGTTCGCCATTCGCTCGTTTTTTGTTTCGTTCTTTTTTCTGGATGTGATTATTCTCTACTCCTCCCTCTTACTAACTTTGTGATTTGACGAGGATATTGGTGTGACTCCTCGTAATAAATATGGGGTCAAACCAGACTTTTTGTGCTTGTTGCTGATTCTTAAAAGTTTGCAGGCCGGGCGCGGGGGCTCACGCCTGTAATCCCAGCACTTTGGGAGGCCGAGGCTGGCGGATCACGAGGGCAGGAGATTGAGACCATCCTGGCTAACACGGTGAAACCCTGTCTCTACTAAAAATACAAAAAATTAGCAGGGCGTGGTGGCGGGCGCCTCTGGTCCCAGCTACTCGGGAGGCTGAGGCAGGAGAATGGCGTGAACCTGGGAGGCAGAGCTTGCAGTGAGCCAAGATTGCACCACTGCACTCCAGCCTGGGTGACAGAGCGAGACTCCATCTCAAAAAAAAAAAAAAAAAAAAACAGTTTGCAATAATTTAGAACTCAGGCAATTTCCTACATTTTCTAGAAATTCTGGTTCCACACTTTGATGCTAATCAGTAAAAGAAAGGTCTTCCACTCAGCCATCCTGACAAATACAATAAGCTTGTTTTTGCCTGCTGCAGTTATCCAGCAGCCAGCTGCTCCGAAGATTTAGATTTGAAGATATGGTCATCATTGTTTGTGAAACCTCGCCTAATAAGGCCATAAAAAATGATGAGTTCATGTCCTTTGTAGGGACATGGATGAAACTGGAAATCAACATTCTCAGTAAACTATCGCAAGGACAAAAAACCAAACACCGCATGTTCTCACTCATAGATGGGAATTGAACAATGAGAACACATGGACACAGGAAGGGGAACATCACACTCTGGGGACTGTTGTCGGGTGGGGGGAGGGGGGAGGGATAGCATTGGGAGATATACCTAATGCTAGATGACACGTTAGTGGGTGCAGCACACCAACATGGCACATGTATACATATGTAACCTGCACATTGTGCACATGTACCCTAAAACTTAAAGTATAATAATAAAAAAAAAGGAAAAAAAAAAGAAATAAGTCCTCCTCAAGAGCTTTAGCAAGGCACTCAAATGTGCGTAAGATGACCTGGGCAGCCTGCTCAGGGCCATGTGCCTGGTCTTCCTGGAATGTGAACTCTTTTCTTGCTGAACAAACTGCCTGCATAATATTCTTTTCATGACTGTGTGGAAGCCACTGTGTTTGCAATTGTTTTTAGTAACTATGCTTCAAATGAATCCTATCTTAAACTGTACAAATCACTGCACTTGTGCAGTAGTGAGCTGGAATTAATCACGCATTGAATTCATGTTAATTATGGAAACATCAAGCATCTGCTAAATTTGCTAGAAAAAGATGCATTTTTAAATGGAGGCTTTTATGATTTACAGAGTATAAATGCTAGTGTTATAACCAACAAAAATATAAGTATGTGACCCAACCAGACAAAAAAGGAAAAAATCTATTAGGTATTTTAAAATAATCTGTGTATTTGGTTTCAAATTCAGACACTGGAGGAGTAAATTACACATCAGTGGCTTTTCCAGGTATGAATGTCCCTGGCATTTGCCCCCAGCTAGTGCCTTATGAGGGATTCCTATGGGACACTGTGAAATTCCCGTAATTCTCACGTGAGATCTAGAATTCTACCCGTTTCATGATGGAAAAAGAGAGCCTTGGCAATGTTAAATGTGCTTTGCTGGGGAGGGTCTCGGGGAAATAAAGTCGTCCTGTGTTACTGCAACATTAACCCCATACCACATCTATGTGGTTCCTGAGCCTCCATGGGACGTAAGTATAACCCACTAGGAACTTGGAAGTTCATGATCCAGTGAAATATTTGGGTTACTTTGAAAAGCCTTCTAAATCCAGAACAGTCAAGAAAGACAAAACTAAAACGTTTAATGCATCAGGGGATTCGTATTCAACACTGAAAACCATGATGATAGCTGTTCGGCTACGCGTCCCCGCCCTACAAGACAGTGCTCCTAATTTTCTTTCCCATTGCTAGAAATACCGTTTGTAGAAATCTGATTCTGTCCTCTAGCATCTCGACTTCCCAGGAAGTCTCTCCAGCTTAAGAGTGAAGACCTTCAGTGGTTTATCAAGTAAATATCAGAAACAGGATGCGCCCATCCTGGAGCTGGCGCCGGCTGTGACGGGACTTACCTGGGCGGCTCCAGCAGAGGGCACTTCGTGGGTGCATGGGGCTTGCACACTTGAGGGGTGTCCAGGTCCCAGCTGGTTCTCAACTTTTAATAGCTCATCGGTCAGTGTCATTTGGTAAAGTGGTTGGGATCTCTGTGATAACTTATTTTTATTTTTTTAAGTTTTTAATGCTAAGCATATGTTAATAGGTTTTCCTTGAAATAGAATGAGAAAATGAAAGAATTATAATGAAATTACTCCTGGTACTTGCTACAAAATATGTCACATTAAAATTTTAGATAACATGGATTTTTCTTTAATATTAGATTGAATTCACTGAATTCTTAAATTGGATTATTATTTAAATGTTTTTGAATCATATTCTGATTTTGATAGGTTGGATTTTATATCATACGGCTCAAAATATTCACTGCTCATTGTAAGAATCTAATATTTTACATTATTTCATTGTTGTTAAGAAGTTGAACCATAAAGAGAAACAATTATTTTTCCACATATGCCAACTTCTATGTTCACTATAGGAATGAAAAATATAATTAGCTGTTTTTACTACCTCATAGAAAAATCTGAAATACTACCTTCTAATAGAATATAATTCAATACAGTCGTTTTAAAAGATAAACCAACAACTCTAAGGCAGCTGAGAAGTCCATTGGCCAAAACTGAAAGTGCTCATATATAAAACCTGGTTCAATGCAAAACTGAATTTTTAATTCAAGATGTGATTCATTCCTATTGTGTGAACTTGATTTGGAAACTTGGACATCTCCACGTTTCTCCCGTCTCCTGATTCTGGGTGTGTTGACCTGATGGGATCATGGCTTGCTCATGTGCTTAACTCTGCTGCTGTGACAGTATGCCCTCATTAAGGCTTGGTTTGTAATTTTCACCCCTCTGCAGGTTGTGCATATGGGGTGGGTAAATGAGAAACTCCAAGGAGCTGACTCCTCTCAAACCTTCAGACCCAAGTTCCTAGCACTGAAGGGCCCGTCCTTCTACGTTTTCAGCACTCCTCCGGTAAGGATGCTTTTGACACTCCACAGGGAGGGGCTGCTGGGAGGGCTATTCCTGTAGGAGGGGGAAAGCTACATCTGGTGTTTGGAGGAGGACAGACAGAGTGCTTGGTCCTGCCGTTTGCTGTTTCTGCATGGTTGGAAAGGATTCTGCTTGTAGATTGCTTATTTCTTGCTCCAAATTTATAAATTAACCCATTTCTTTCTTTAGTTCAAATAGCCATTAAGATATTGTAGAGCTTATTCCTTCCTCAAATTCCAGCTGGTTTGGAGGTGGGATGCAGAGGCTCTGTGTCTTAGAGGATCAATTATGTAGTTGAAGAAGCCAAGAAACATACAAAATACAACCCTCTTTTTAGACGTTTCCAATTTCTAAATTTTAAAAGCTTTTATTCCCGGATGTCTCCCAAGTTTTATTTAAAAAATAAGCAGCCTGCTTTAGTGGGGTCCATAATATAAATTTATGGCTGAATGCTATCGTTCTGCAATTTCATTTTCCAGTGCCCACCGGTACCATTCTCCCCAAACTGACTGAATGTAATGTGTAATGTCTAGAAGTTTATCAATTTAAACAGCTTTACTTTTGAGAGTCTGACCATCAGAACTGCAAGCAAACTAAAAACCTGAGAGCTTCAGGTACCTACACGTTTTGGATGCATGTCACGTGCAGTGTTCATGGGACTTTTTTCCATTAAAAGGAAATGAAAAGATAAAACCAAGTTTTACCTCCAGACATCAAGACAGTAATACCCTGCCTGTCTTTTCGTTGATAAGGATGGCTTTTTAAGTAAGCGTTTTACTTGAGAATCATTTCAGATTTATGGAAAAGCTGCACATTGAGTGCAGAGAGCCCCGTCTGCCTCCACTCAGCTCCCCTGATTTACACAACTTACGTGGCCATGGAGCATCTGGCAAACCACCATTTGACAATGATGCAGCATTACTAACCACACTTCGCCCTCCAGTCAAACTTCAGTTTTTCTACTAATGCACTTTTTCTGCCCCAGAGATAACATAGGATATCATATTGGCTTTAGTTGCAAGGTTTTGAAATAAACCAGCACTTTGTGCTTATTGCACCTAAATGTTTGCATGAATAATGACTGAATTCCCCTCAAAACAAACATAACCATGTTCTTTAACATTTACTGCTAATTTGCTCCATATTTTCAAATTCAAGTCCCAGAGGTGAACGTCTGATTGGCTGGGCTGATTTTGTTTTTGAGCAGAGCTAAGATATTCATGCCAGCTCATCTCAGAGGTATTGAAAGACTCGGAGGAGGTGGCTGGCACCGCATGTACCCAACCTGGACCACGTACCACTGACACTGGAGATGCATGAAGGGGCTGAGGTGTCGGAGGACTTCCATGGACCCATATCACTCCATGTGTTACCTGTGTGGCCTGTTTACCAGTTGGCCTTTTATGGAACTCAGGGATTCTTCAAACCCTAATGGGCAGATCCTAATTCAATAACCATTGAAAAGCAAGGGTTCAAAACAGACAGGTTTCTTGGCCGTGGGTCTTCACGGAAGTTATGTCCTGCCTTGGGATGCTCCGAGTGCTGGTAGCATCCAACTCATCTCAGCAAGGCCCGGCTGGTAAACTGATTGCAGCGTCACAAAGTGTCCCTGGAATTGCTAACGTGCGTAAACTCCTTTGTAGCTTGTAGTGCACTTCTGTCCATTATATAATTTGATTCTTGAGACAACTGAAGGCCCCTCATTTTAGTGATGAGTGGCAAGAGCACACAATATCAGAGCTCCATCTTGATACATCGTAACTGTTTTATCATGGAGACCTATTGTAATATAAATCGATAACTAAAAATAGGTATTTTCATCTTAGCAACACATTGAACAGACACATTCACTTGCTTTTTTTTTCTCATTTGAGTCTTGCTTTTACAGATGAAGGTCATGTGTAAATAAAATAGTAAACAAATATACTTGACCGAGGATTGTTTTGGATAATTTATTTAAAATCCTCTCTTAATAGACTGTGGGTTGTATTAACTGCATTTAATACCAGAATATTCTTACAATGTACTGAAAATCCAGAGTGCAGGGAGTATACTCTCTCTGGTCTTCTTCCCCGGTGGGAACCACCTAAGTATGTGGCCTGTCATTGTTCTTCTTGATACTTGCTCTCATAATTTGTTTGAAACTGGCTGACTTTGCCTGAAAAAAGTAATAAATACAAATAAGCAACTTTCCTTCAGTATTCATTTGTATTCTGCTTAGTTGTAAATTATGAGACCCTGACTATGTTTGATTTTGAAATAATTCTTTTAAAGAAATCCTAATGTATCTAAATTTTAAGTTGTGCTTCTTTTTCTTCATACCTGCTGTGGGTAGAGAGTCCATTTCTTATTTTAAATGCAGTTTTGTTTTGTTAAAATGCAGGCGAGTCTTCCCTCAGGGCCCTGAGGTCGCTGCCACTCACACTGGCCGGGCAGTGCAGCATTTGCAAGGGACAGAGAATCATTTCCTGGGGGTCTGAAACCAGGATATGGTTGTGGAGAGTGAGGGCTGAGGAGGGCGCATGGCACTGGGGTGAGGACCAGGAACCTGCCCAAAGCCACAGGACCAGCCGTGCGTGCCGGGAAGCCAAAGTCACATTTCTATGTGTCCAGGAAGGAACTGGAAATCGCAGACTCCTCATTCACGTAGAGGAAGTGCCCACACCTTAGCCTGCTGGGTTGGTGCTTCCCTCCCCCAGGGCTGCCAGCCTCCTGCCCCTTCCTCTGGCCCACAAAGTCCGTGCTCTGTCTCCGCCACCTGGCTTTGCCATGGTTTGTTAGGGTTTCTTTCTTGGTCATTTAAACTATTTGAAAACAATAAAAAACTAGCAGACAAACCCTGTATGTTTCCTCTGGCAACATCTGCTTGTCCATTCCAGATGCTGCAGCTCCTCCCTCCATCTCTCTCCCTGTCTCTCTGTCTCTGTCTCTCTCTGTCTCTATTTATATCTCTTTCTATCCCTCTCTCTTTCTCCACCTGTCACTGTCTTTGTCTCTCTCTGTCTGACTCTCTCTGTGTCTCTTCCTCTGTCTGACTCATCTCTCTGTCTCTTTCTGTCGTCTCCTTCTCTGCCCACTCTTTGCTCCTCTCAAGGTCTCTCTCTTTCTCCATCTGTCTTTGTCTTTGTCTCTCTCTGTCTGACTCTATTTCTCTCTATCTCTGCCTTTCTCTCTGTCTCTCCTTCTCTGCCCTCTTTGCTCCTCTCGAGGTCTCTCTCTTTCTCCATCTGTCTCTGTCTTTGGCTCTCTCTGTTGGTCTCTCCCTCTCTTTGTCTTTCTCTCTGTCTCTCCTTCTCTGCCCACTCTTTGCTCTTCTCGAGGTCTCTTCCTTTACTTGCTTTCCAGTCCCTCAGAGACAGTTTCATCTTTGGTGTGGGAAACTGTGCCTTATCTTGTATTCATGGCCCCTTTCTTGTCTTTTCCTATAAAAGTTATCTATCGTCTCTTTCTCCTTCTGCATACACTCCGGAACATTCCTAGAACATGATTGTTTTCATTAACTTCTTATTTCTAGTAATTTCTGCAGAAGATGACTTGGCACCATCTCCATTCTCTCTTCAGAGCCATCAGCAGGGCTTCTTTCCATCATTGTGGTTCTGAAGGCCTCGCTATTCCTTGTAAAGGGTCAGCGAGGACCCGAATGAGCCTAGAGAGTAATTCTCAAGATTTCGTAAACCTGTGAAGTTGAATTAGCCCCAGATAGATTTACCATTAGGCTGCAATTTAAGGAAGCTGGATGTTACTCTAAAGTGTACGCATCCATCCAAAATGGTCATTGACAGTTTAGCTGCCCAGATCTCTGAAATATAAAAATTTTGTTATCCTCAAGTAAGCATAGTTTCATAATTTAAATTTTTAAGTATAAATATATAACTGTTAATTACACCAATATAGACTGCACAGTCTGTGAAGCTTTTGAGTCTAGTAGTGCTTAGGAAGCTCACATAGACCCACACACATGCACACACCACACACCACACACACCACACACTACACACACCACACACACACCACTCATGCACACACCACACGCACACCACATGCACACACCACACACATGCACATACCACACACATAACATATGCACACACCATACAAATAGAACACACACCTCCCACAGGCACATACCACACACACCACACTCATGCACACACCACACACACCGCACACACACCACACAAACCCCACACACACCACACATGCACACACCACACACACATCACATGCACACACCATGCACACCACACACACAACACAAATAGACACACACCCCCCACAGGCACACACCACACACACACTACACGCACACCACATCTGCACACCACTCATGCACACACCACACACACGTGCACACCACTCATGCACACACCACATGCACACCCCATGCACACACACCCAGACCATGGCGTGTGGATGTGAGAGGAGGGACTCCAGCCGGCAGTGATGCTCCCATTTGCTGAGATGGGAACTGTGGGATGTACTCATTGGTGAGTGCTGGATCTTTGTAAGTTTGAAATGTTTAAAGATTTCCAAAGGGAGGTTTTTGAGTAGAGTTAGATCCACCAGGCTTGAGTTCAGAGACAAGAACTGGGTAGCCATAGAAACTCTGGAGGCGCCCAGTACGCAGAGAGCTCCCGATGCTGTGAGGCTGCAGGAACCGTGAGTTGATCTAACTGGATCCTTGATGATCCACGAGAAAGAAGCCACTCATTTCTTCTGGATCTGGATAATTTGTACTTTTTCAGTGGTAATCAATAATACCAGTAATGCACTGGAGAGATAAAAAGGTGCAGGTTTTTATGAATATTCCATCCAAAAGTTAGATTGATTTGACTTGTTTTATCTGTATACTTCCCGATGACTTCATATAGTTTATAAATTTCTAGTGGTCTCCAACTGTCATTACTTAACGTCACCTGTAAAATGAGAATAGAGGACTGTAAATGCCTACCTGAGAGGGTTGTAGGGAGATTAAGGAAGGATGATTAGTACATTATAAATATCATACAATGGATCACTGGTGTGGAAGTTTTCTCTCTTGATAAAACACTGGAAATGCAATTTGGTTTCCATGGACCTGGGAGCTGCCTGTGCTGGGCTCCTGCTGCCTGCACCATGTCCAGCATCACCTCTGACATAGAGAAGATGCTGCCTGGTTACAGGTGGAATAATCTATAAAATCAGTACTGAGGCCTATTAATGCTTGGCGGTGGGCTGAGTGTTTTGCAGAGGTCATCAAGTCCTCTCTAATGAGAACATCAAGGAGAAATCAACCCCTCATATTTGCACTCCAGCCTGGAGAACAAGAGTGAAACTCTATTTCAAAGAAAAAAAGCTGTAAAAGCATTTGAATCTAACAGACAAAATCATGTATTAGTATTCACCAACTTCTCATTGCAAAATCAATACACACAATATGGTGAATAAATTTACATCTAAATATTTATAATGTATTAATATTTTTTCTGGCCTGACATTTTATATCCTGGCACTGGTGGCAATTTGCCAGTAGCAGTCTTACTTTGCCCAGATCTAAAACAACCTTATGTTAAGGTTTTAACATCAGTATCTTAAATGTATTTTATCCTGACATAAACATGAGGTTTTTGGATCAGAGACAGGTTGTTAATTACTCACAGAACGTCTCAATGCTGGTTCCCCATCCCTGCCCCAGAGTTCTGTGTGGGCAGAGATGTCAGCCATGGGAGAAGCACGTGGGGCCATGACTCTCGGAGCTCATATAGGATGCTCAGCACCCACCCACCCTCCTCCCCACAGAAGGAGAGACTCCCCCTTACTAACACCAATCAGACCTCTCTCAGGAGAGAAAGCCGAGGTCTCTCTTCCATCACACTTTGGAATATAAACCAAAGGCTTCAGGGGCCATCCGTGTAAATGTCCCTGAATGATTCACTATTGCCAACTCCCATGGCTGGGTCACTGCACCATCGTCCTTCATTCCAGGTGCCAGTGAGTGTTGCTCAGAAAGCCCTCACTATGCAATAATGTAGAAATATTCACAGAGCTTCGATTCTCAGCAGTCTACGTCAGAAAATTTTAGTGAATTTTACAAGGACCCAAAGATTATCATGGCAACTTAGGAAAAACTAAAAGGTAAAGTCCTTCTTTGAACGGTGGCTTTTGATCTCGTTCAAGATGAGGAAGAGGAAGAATATTGAAGGAGAATAGAGAAAAGAAGGTGTATTCGTCTGTGTTCACATTGCTCTAAAGAAATGCCTGATACTGGGTAGTTTATAAAGAAAAGAGGGTTAATTGGCCCACAGTTCCGCAAGCTGTACAGGAAGCACGTCTGGGGAAGCCTCAGGAAACTTACAGTGTGGCAGAAGGCAAAGGGGAAGTAGGCACATCTTACATGGCCAGAGAAGGAGGAAGAGAGGGAGCGGGAGGAGATGTCACACTTTTAAACAATCAGATCTCATGAGAACTGTATCACAAGAATAGAACCATGGCCAGAGAAGGAGGAAGAGAGGAAGGGAGAAGATGCCACACACTTGTAAACAGTCAGATCTCATGAAAACTCTATTAGGAGAACAGCACCAAAGGGCAAATCCACCCCCATGATGCAGTCACCTCCCACCAGGCTCCACCTCCAACAGTGAGGATTATAATTTGACATGAGATTTGGGCGGAGTCACAGACCCCAACCGTATCAGAAGGGAAATGGGATAGAAGAATGGAAAGGAGGAATTGGAGTGGAAAAAGCAGGTCCGTGTTTCACAGCTCAGTTGTTCCGTGAGGAGGGCCCGGCCCACCCTGGTGGGTCCCTAATCTCTGTCTTTCCCATGCACCAGGAGATGCTGGAAGAGCTGAGATTAAAGCCGGGACTCTCAACAACTCACACACCCTACTCTCCCTCGTTAGCCAGAGTATTTATTTCTGATTTGTACATTAGAATCTGAAAGATGTTTCAGTTATTCCTGTTTTCAAACATCATTAAAATGTGTCAAAATAAGTTATAAAGTCAATTTTACAGAATTGTATGGCATTAATATATCAATGATGTAGCAACTGCCTATGCATATGCAAGAATTATTAGCAATTTAAGACTATCAATTACATAGGTATATTCTATCATTAAAAATATTACTTGGAAAAAATAATTCAAATGAAGATTTGTAGATGGAGCAAACTATATTGTTCTGGGGCCACATATTCATTGTTCTATGATAACAGTCAAAGGTACCAAGTTATGGCATCTTGTAATCTACAATTTCGGCTCCATTTCAAGCCAAGTGTGGCCAGATACTTAGAAAATTGTCAATTGCCATTATTAGGAAAACCATAGTGATGATATATAGTTACAAAACCACCCATCTTGTCTACCATCCGTTACGTCTCTTTTGTTCCATGAGAGTCTGGAGAAAATCCAGGAATCTGCATACCTCGTGTTTCCTTGCCCTGGTGTTAAGTCACTGCTCTGAGGAAGAAGCATGATGGTAGAGCCAGTGGATCTCTCTCCGGACATGCAAAATCATTCCCCAGAGAAAATCGGCTGATAAAGTGCCTCAGAGAGGTTCACGCTGCATGGGCCCCTCTTAGCAGAGGGTTTCCCCTCTTTTAACATAAGAGGTGCGGTCCTGGAAAATCGTGTAAACTAAGCCATGATGACTGCATTAGGGAGCCCTGGATTTCAGGAAGTCGTGGCGTGGAGTCTGGATTTCAGGAAGCCATGGCGTGGAGCCAGTCATTTACCAAGTCAGGAATTCGTTTGTCCAATGAGCGGTGATTGAACACGCCTCTGCAGTAAGGAATTCGTTTGCAATTCACAGTGGCTGCTTCCATCCCACCCTCGGCCTTCCTTTCCTTTTAAAAGGTGTCAGGCTTCTTATCCTCAGGTTGTTTTCCCACAAGACCACCACGTCAGACTCCCCTCATAAAACATCAAGAACACCAATGTACCTATGAATCACCTGGGAATACTTCTTGAAAACACAGGCTGTGATATGGCAGGTCTGGTGCGGACCTGAGACTTGACATCACCAACAGGGACCCAGAGATGCCGAGGCTGTTGCTGGCCTTGCTGCACTTTGGGAGTCATGATGGATACATCAACAATAAATTGCTTAAAAATAAAAAGTCAAGATCTCTGAGCCTCACTCCAAACTTGCTAAATCTGAACCGCTTGGATGGGGCGCAGGAATCTGCATCGGCAGGTGACGCCTGGCCACACTCAGGCATGGCACAAACACACTAGGAGTGCCCTGCTTCAGAACAGTACTCCAGGCTTTCAGTATTGTCACTGCATCATGGGCTATGCACACCTAGAATTTTGAGCTTTACATTAATCTTCTAATTATATGTGTGTGTGTGTATATATATATATACACAAAGTTGTATGTATATATATATAAATATATATAAATATATATAAATATATATAAATATATATAAATATATATATAAATATATATAAATATATATATAAATATATATATAAATATATAAATATATAAATATATATATATATAACTACATGTGTTAATACACATACGTATGTATAGCCACGCATTGCTTAAGGACAGGTATATATTCCAGAAAATGCACAGTTAGGCAATTTTGTCGTTGTGCAAACATCATAGGGTGTATTTACAGAAACCTAGATGGGCTGTATATTTTTATTTATGTATATTTTCATATAGAAAACCAAATGTTTCGGCACCATTACTGCCTATGAGTTCCTTCCTCTAGTTGATCTGCAAGGCCAGGATCAAGTTCCATCGACCGGGTTTCTGTATATGCTCCATTAGAACCTATGGGGCCACCGTGGTCTGTGCAGTTCATTGTTAACTGAAGTGTCGTGACGTGGTGCATGACTGTATAGACACACACGCACACACATTTGTATATGCATACAGAGAGGGTTTTGACTAGCTTTCCTAACATTAAGCTCAATTTAGCCAAGTTTTTTCACTTTTGTTGCAGCAACCTACCTCCTATCTGAACTACAAGCTACGCAGAACCTAACCAACACACGAGATGCTCTTCTTGGATACCTTGGACATGGTTTTATCTTAAATAACCCCCTTCTGTTACATGGTCATGTTCGGCCTTGAATTGTTGTAGCCTAGATATTTTCTAGAGCTATAACTCGTGAAATAAAAAGTGAGAAGAGCCCTAATGGACATGATGAATTTTTTGGTGATTTTTTTTTTCTGGCAGAAACTCAGAGGAACCTGATGCCTGCACTTTCACTAAATTAGAGAAGCATTCACATCACATCCATGTAGGGAGAGGAAGGATATCTGTGAAAGGCTGGAGCCAGGCTGAGGGTGCTCTGCAGAAAGGATCACTCACATGAAGTCACCTGAGCTGCGTGTCAGCAGGGGGAAGCCGATGGCAGGGCCTCTGGGACTTGGAAGAGGGGAGGGAGACCTGCCACGGCTGTCAGGAAAAGCCTCAGGGCTGGGTCTGAGCTGAGTCCTTAAGCCATGCGGTTCAGGTAAGCAGGGAAAGAACAATGATGAGAAAGACCCACTTCTTCTTTTTTTTTTTTAATTAATACACTTGTTTTTTGGACGATTTTAGATTTACAGAAAACAGTGGAAGGTGAAGAGTAGCCTGTGCCCCTCACTGCCCCCACCTCCCCTGTTCCTAACACTTGCATCCTCTGGTACATTGTCACAGCCAGGAGCTAGTGTGGATACTGCCACACCCATAACATCCATGTGGCTCAAGGGGACTTCCCACAGCTCTCAGGGTGGCAGCATTTTCTTCAAGTCCACAATAGAAATGGTTCCATCCGAAGCCCGACCACCTTCTTACCTGTGTCTGCGATCGAGGCACATTCTCTTCCCTGAATCAATCATGTTGGCGAAGATGATGAGAATTCTGGCCTGAATTGTGTGTGGACTGCGCCTTGCCTCCCTGGGCTGTGGGCAAGGTCATAGCTCTGGGAGCGGAGAAGGGATCCCCAGGGGGAGACACGGCCACTGGCAGGAGGAATAAACGAGTAGGAGGAAGGCAGGACTACGGCAAAACCAGCAGACGCCACAGGGACGAACAGAAAGGGGCTTAATAAACAGATGATGGATGCAGCGGAAGGAGGGAGAGACTAGACCTGCTTCTGCGAACAACAAAGAGCACAGCCCCCTCCAAGCTTTGTCTTAGAACATGACTCAAATCCCTGCTGTTTTGTCACATATTGATATCAGACTAGTATGGAAAATGCATTCAATGTGACATAATCTAATACAGTGACCAGATATATTAATCACAGCACGATGACAGCGGTGAAAACCTAAAAGCAATCTACAATGTCCATCACAAAGATAAAGCTTACAAAAACCGTAACTCCACACGGAAATTCTAAGCTGTAGTTACAGTTGTATTTCTGAATAACATTTAATGACATGGGAAAATGCTGATATTACTAACTATATTTTGAAAAGTGTAAAACCATGAATATGCATAAGGTGTATTTATAGCAACAAGTAAACTTGGGAAGATGTCTCTGAATAGGGTGTTTAGTGGGTTTTTTTTCCCCTTTATATTTACAGCCTTCAAAAATAAGCAGCATTGTCCTAACTGGGAAAGATAAAAATGGTGGATCCACAATTCTGTATTTGCCAGTAATAAAACCAGCACCTGAGCTCTGACATTAGGCAGTAGCATAAAACACTGGCCAGGGTGGGAACGGGAGGAGTGGGAAGGGAGGGGCAGGTGCAGTGTTGAGGAATCAGCGGGCACTGCTGTGGAATTCAGGGTGATGTTTTATTTCAGGCATCCATCAGCATGGCTCCCCAGCTCTCAAGAGAAGGGGTGCTGGAGTTCTGGCTTTTAAACTCTGAAATAAGCACCTGAAACTCCCTCTAGCAAATTCGAGATGTAACTCTTATGGCCTGAATACCAGATCCAAAAGGAACCTTAAAGTTCGTATTCTAATTGGCCATTCTCACTTTCAAATTGTTCCCTTTACTTATTGTTTTATTGCCAAAATCACAATTGCAATGAGCTGACTCTAGGGCAATAAAATATTAAATAGCAAAACTATTTGTGTAACTTTCCACATTTCAGTTGTGATGACTTGAAAAATGTCTTGAAAATTTTGTTTGCTGCAAGGATTACCAGAAGGTCCCCAATTAATTAAAGCCAAGATAATTTCAGTGTTTCAAAGACATAATTCCGTGCACTTTGGATTATTTTTACTGGCTGAAGGAAAAAGTGCAGGGTCAACAATAAAAAACATCAAATTTGTTACATTGTTGAATATTTTAGATTTTTCTGCATGAAATATTTTAACTTAGAGATTAAATATCTGAGCTTGAATTGTGAAACATACAGCATTATTCGACAGTGAGATTAGTTTGGCCATTATTATTGTTAAAATAGTTGTGAACTACAACAGCTCAGACCAACGAAAAATGTATTCAATTAAATTGGTTAGTAGATTTTTCATTCATTTCTGAAACAGAACTAAGTTTAGTTCTAAAAAGCAAAAGACTGTCTACACAATATTTTCTGTCCATTTTTGTACTCCAGTAAATATATAAACTCATTCACTTTCACATGCATTAAATGTTACCCAAAATTAATCCCTAATTTAATCTAAAAGGAATCCAAAATGGTTTTCTAAAATTATGCCCAATTGCATGTGATAGACAAGATATCATAGATATCAATCTTATCTATCTAAGATAAGATAAAGGAGATAGACGTTTTCCTGTCGGTAAAGGATCTATTATATTTGCCACAAACTGACAAAGATGAGGATGTGGCAACTCATCAAAACTCACAGCAGTACGTAAAGTTTAATGTTACCAATTTATACTAATGGGGCTTAGGATTTAATTGAGGTGGACACACATGCAGTCACACTATTGTAAATTTTTAAATTTTTCAACTAAAAGTAGCATGCTGCTTTTCATGGAACGTTCTCTGTTTCTTGCAGGTGAGCACATTCGATTGGGTGCGAGCAGAAAGGACCTATCACCTCTGTGAGGTGCTATTTAAAGTTCACAAGGTAGGTATCTTTTGCACTTCAGATGCTTTCATACAAATAAGATGCCCTTTGGGCTTGCAGAATGAGAGGATTGTTTGTTCTGCGTGGTCCATTGAAATAGTAAAATTTGAAATAGTAAAATAATGTGACGATCTGGACCCATTCTCCTGCCCTACCTGGTACATGGGTTCTAGCTGTCACCCTGTTGCTTATCAAGGCAGGATGAATGGATGACAGGGTGTGTCTGTGTTTATGTGGTATGTGGTGTTTGTGTGTGTTTTACGGGAGAGATGTGTTTTATGACATCCACTTACAATCATTTATTCCAAGAACTTTAGATTTTGTTACTGCTGCTGCTGTTATTGAAATTGTTTTCAACAAATCAGATACAAATTTGCCCCAGGGTCTGGCCAGTTTGCTGCTCATGGTTCCTAGGGTAGGTAAGGACTGAGCCTTCCTCCAGGGGACACACCTCACTGGTGGGGCTGCCCGGAGCCTGGAGGTGCAGCAGGGCCCTAGCCCAGGCCCCCGCCCACCTGACTGCAGAGGTGTCTCCACAGCAAGGCGACGATGCGCTCACCGTGGCCGGGTGCCACCGTGTCCTAGTATGTGACTCAGTGCATCATGTAAACAAACCACCTGTGTCTTTTTCATGTAGGAGTACACAAAACAGAGACAAATAGGAATATTAAGTGAAAGTTTAAATGTACGTACCTTTTAGTCTGAGAATTTGACTGTAAAGAGTTATCAGTCTAAAGTTAGAAGTTTTGAATAAAGATTTGTCTTTCAAAGTTTGGTTTGTTTTCTTAAATTGAAAATATCCTCAAAAATAATATTCTCTATCTGTAGTTGCTTTATTTTAAATTTAAATCTGGAATTTCAGACTGCCTTTAATGGAAACATGTACAAGGGAAATACATTTCCATAATAATATTATCAAATGATAAATACATTTATTTCCCATTTTTGAAAAATTTATTTGGGCAACATTTTTCTGCATTGTTCCTACTTTTGTTGAATATGGTAATGAAGGAGATGAAGGAAAAGGCCGGATGTATTTAAATTAAGACTCCTAATTACAGGTTGTAATAAACAATCATTGATCAGAAAGTGAACATTTCTGTGCTAGGCATATTCATTAAAAAATGGAGGAAAATAGAATAAAACATTAACTGTGGTTTTCTCTCAGTGATGGCTTTTCTAGTTATTGTTGCTTTCATTTTAAAAATTATTCTGTTTTCGAAATTATCTGTGACAGGAATGCATTATTTTGAAAATGGCAAAAAGGAAGCCTTATGTTAACATGAGCCTCTTGGTCGTAGATGATATGCAGGTCATTTCATCCATCACATTTCCACAGAAGAATTCGTAGAAGAATTCTTGGCCTTTTTGTTTCCTTCGCATGGGCTCCTCATCAACACATTTTCGCTTCTCCCCCCTCTTGTTTCAGAGGATTCTCCTTCCGTGCACCTGAGATGTTCTTTAGGTACTGGGGTGTCTTTGAGAGATTATTGTATCTTACATATGTGGTTCATTAGTAAGCTATAGAGCCATCTCATTTTCCCAGGAAGATTATAAAAAAATTTTAGTCAGTAAATATTATATGAAGTATTTATGAAATCATGAAATTAGCCAGTAGAATGGCTATGGCAAAGGTATTAAACTAAAAAATGGGGTAAATAATAATAAATCTATGGCATTCAATATTTTTAAAAAAGAGATTAAATTATATGAGTTGAATGTCCTATTTGGAAGTCTTAAAATAGTGATCTTACAAAATCATATTGACTGCTTTTACACGCATTTAATTGCTGATGTTTATCATTTAGCATACATAAATTTAAAAGTAAATGCATTCAGTTCATTTTCAGAAATGTAAATAAATATGTGAGTATCATAAGAACTAATACTTTTTCATATAGATTCTTTAAATATCCATAATTACCATTTCAAAGTACACTCATTAATATTTAGACCAGAAATCAAATTCTGAAGTTGTGATTTTGTTTTTTCTCTGATACCTTCTAAAAATTACTTTTCCCAACTCTTAAAATTATGTGTTCTGTATTTCAACACTCATCACGAAATAGATGAGAAAATTGCACCAATCAGCCTTGATTGCAGTCGTGAGAGAAATGATAAACAGCTTTCGTGCAGCATGGCAGAAAAGCACTCTGGACACTATGGAGCGTCCTGTGTGAAATCCACGGGTCCATCCTCTCAACCTAAAGATACCCCATTAAATTTTCAGGAAAAGTCAATATTCTCATATGTTTGGCAGAAGATCTTAGTAATGATAGCTGTCTTTATTGAGTACTTCCCTAGGAACCTTGCTAAGCACTTAGCTATGTCCTTGAGTTAATTCTCTCCCCACCTAAGGAGCACTCTGTTTTGTAGCTAAGAACTCAGAAGCAGGGAAGTGGACGAGGACTTTCCAGAAGCCAAGCAGAGACAGGGATGGGGCCCAGACTCACGTGGCTGCAAAGCTCATCCCGAATCCCGCTCTATTCCACGTGCTAGAAGCAGTGGTGTTCCGGGAGCCTGTCGCGAGTGGCCGTTAAGAGTTCTAGAACGTGTTCTCCACGGATCTTCGGGGTAGTCCTGTTTGGATAATATCAACACTGAGAGGAAGAATTCCTAAATGATTTTCCTAAAGCCATGTCAGGACAAAACTGCACCAGAGTTAAAGGCGAAGAAGGCAAGAAGACCTTATTCAAGTCTATTATGATAGGAGAGAGAGAGAGATTCAGAGATTCAACTCCACTGAAACAAAGGATGAGAGGGTTTCTACAAGTTGGGATGGGAAGGAGATTAGGGCCATCATTGTCTGTTAATTGGCCTCCTGCAAAGAAACAGAGAGCTTCCCCCATCTTCATGACAGGAGGTGGTTGCACAGCTTAGAGCCAAGCACCCACCAAGGCTGGGCTCCATCCTTCCACAGGGACAGGAGATGACGCCATCTTGCCAGTGATCACATTTTGAAGGGACAGCTCCCAGCTCCTTGAGAAAGACAGTCCTGGGTTGTACAGCCAGCAAGAGACTTCTAGAAAGATTCAGGTATCAAATGGCAGAGAAAGAACATACAATAATACATTTTCTAAAGCAAATGCTCTAAAGATAGGGAGTTCCAGGTCCCAGAGGTGGGAAGAAGCCGGGTCAAGTCTCAGTCCAGACGAGGAAACCCAAAGGCTCAGTCCAGACGAGGAAACCCAAAGGCTCAGTCCAGACGTAGTAACCGGAAGGCTCAGTCCAGACGAGGCAACCGGAAGGCTCCGTCCAGACGAGGCAACCGGAAGGCTCCGTCCAGACGAGGCAACCGGAAGGCTCCGTGCAGACGAGGCAACCCGAAGGCTCCGTGCAGACGAGGTAACCGGAAGGCTCGGTCCAGACGACGAAACCCGAAGGCTCGGTCCAGACGAGGAAACCCGATGGCCTAGCCAGCCGCTGACTGACTGTTGACGGCAAGCCGCTGACCTTGAACTTCAGTGCTCAGGGTTTCCAGTCGTATCAACACACTGCGATCCACAAGGTCTGAGTGATTGTTTTTAAAGGAGCTACAGGAACTATCTGGGGAAATGAGCTATATATGAATAATTAATTTTCCTTTTGTAGAACTTACAACACATTCTTTGTGAGGCTAAACAGTGGAAAAACAATCCCTTGCTTGATCAAGCAGTCTCACTCCTCAGAATTGAATCTAAAGAAGAGTCCATTACAACACTGAGTTCAGAGGAATCAAAGAGCTATATGTATGAGAATGTTTAAGGATATTCCTTAAATTAATGATATTTGAAGAATAATCAAAAGACCATTGAGAAATATTTTAAAATCTTACAACATATTTTAAGTAATTCTACTATAAATTTATACAGTTATATGTACAAATTCACATTGCATGAAAGAGAATATTAATTATTGTCCTATTATTAAGGTTATATTAATAATTATTGACATATTTTTAAAAATCAGATGACAAAACATAGTAATAAGTTTATCTTTTAAATTCCCTTTATTGTTGCTATAATTGTTTCATAATAAATATAAATAGAAAAAATATGTAATTTTAGAATACAACCCTTTTTGTTTTTTTCAGGAAAGGGAACATAATAAGATGATGTCTTGCAGTCCTAGGTGGGGGGTGGGCTTTCTTCAGTCGTGGGGGTGGCTGGAAATGCTGTTCTGGATATTGCCAGAGCTGACCCTGCCAGGAAGCCAGGTAGCTGCAAAGCAGACATCAAATCGACATGTACGGCCTGGCTCAGCATTGCCTTAGGACGTGTGTCTTTATGAAAGCACGTAGTGAACTCATGTGAATCCGGGATGTGAGCCCTGCATGCTGGCCACTCTGTCATGTGAAGTTATGACAACATTTTTATCACGATTCCATTTCACAGCTCAAAAGTGGAGGCTCTGAGAGAGTGAATTGCTCAAGATCAAACAGCTAATACTGGGCAAAGAAAGGCCTCAAATTTTATCTGACTCCAAAACCTGGTGTTCTTCTATTATAATACACAGCTGCCCAAATATAGCAAGTGATAGGAAAGAAACACAATTGACCTTTGAACAATATGGGCTTGAACTGCGTGGGCTCATTTGTATGCCAATTGTTTTCTATAAGTATGTTGGAAAATTTTTTGAAAACAATTTAACAATTGTAAAAACCTCTTAAGACAAACTGTGTAGCTTAAAAATATCAAAACATTAAGAAAAAGTTAGAGATGTCGTGAATTCATACAATATATGTAGATACTAGTCTATTTCATCATTTACTCCTGTAAAATATAAATCAATCAATTTGGCACCATCTGCAGTGGAGAGGAATATAGACAAAGGTAAAGATGCAGCGTTCAATCATTCCTGCCCATGGTTAACTGGAGCACATAGTGTGACATGGGTTTCTGAGTAAAATGTCTTAATCATCCCTGTGGAAGCAATTTCTCTCTCCAGTAAATTGCAGAGCATGGTAACGAGTGATCTCTCAGAGTTCTTGTGTACCTTCCCTCCTTCGTGTTGAGTCCAGTAACGTAAACCTTGAATAACACCCCGGGACCCACACGAAGTGCCACAAGGGATGTTGCAAGTGCCCCAAGAAGCGGGAATATCACAGCATTGCCAAAAAGCTGAATTGTTTGCTGTGCACCACAGATTGAGGTCTGCAGCGTGGTTGCCACCATTTCAGACCATTCATCTCATAAACAGATGATGTAAACTTATGGTGTCAATAAATACAGTGCAGTGCTCTAAGTATATCTTCTCTTCCCTGTGATTTTCTCAATAACATTCTCTATTCTCTAGCTTACTTTCTTAATTCATTTATTTATTTAGAGATAGGATCTTGCTGTGTCATCCAGGCTGGTCTTAAATTCCTGGGCTCCAGTGATGCCCCTGCCTCAGCCTCCCAATTAGTTGTGATTACAGGTGTAAGCCACTGTGCCTGAATTCACTTATTCTATTCTAAGAATGTAGTATATTATACGTATAACATACAGAATATGTGTTAATTGACTGTTCATGTTATTAGTAAAGCTTCTGATCAACAATAGACTACTAGTAGTTAAGTTTTAGGGGAGTCAAAAGTTATGCATGAATCTTCAACTGCGTGAGAGTTGGCGCCCCTAACCCCTGGGTTGTTCAAGGCCCAACTATAATGAGCCATTCAATGGGGGATGTGCGTTCCCACATAAATATCTTCCAAAAGTTTTTCTTTATCAGTTTTGACATTTAAGTTCAGTGGATAAAGAGATACTTTCTGCACCATAAGGTCAATGATGAACATGTTGTTCTTGGTTTGTGACGTGTAACCCTATAGGTTCCAGGTATCCCAGCTGAAGGAGACGATCCAGAGGGCCCCAGAATTAAAGTGCAGTTTCTGTACTCAAGGCTCATTTAGGGTTAGCAACGTATGCACACTACACACATTCACGTACACACACATTCATGTTCACATACATTTCCACACATACACATGTTCATGTGTGCACACACATTCTCATGTGCACACATACACACACACATGTTCTCACGTGCACACACCACAAGGCATTTGATGTCTGGATGATGCACAGGGATAAATGTGCAATGCTCTCCATGATCAGAGGGTCATCCTGCAGAGCCATCTGCGGGGCCAGGAGAGCCAGGGCATCCCCCCGGAGAGTCCAGAAGGCCCACCTGAGACACACCAGTCGTAGCTTTTACCTCAAACCTGTGCCTAGAGTGCATGTGTCAGCATATTTCAAGTAAAACTATTTGGCCAACTGCTGAGTTCATGTGGATTTTGGGACTGGACCTTGAGCGTAAGTGTGAGTGGGGACTGTCCAGCTTGGCTGGTTGGCACAAGTGAATGGAGATATCTCAGAATCATGATGGGAAGACCCAGCAGGTGGGCAGCTCCCCTTCCTTTCTGCTGCCATATGCAGGGCTGTGGGTGAACACCACATTCTCATTCAGGACTTTGGAAACCCCAGCCCAGGTGTCTCCCCTTGTTTCCCTTCACTGGGGAGAGACTGGTGCAGCAAAATTGATGTTGGGGTGCAGCGTCCCAGGAAGGTGTCTGGTGGGGGCTCTTCAGGGTGGATCTGTGGACCAGTAAATGAATGGGTGAGCTGAGAACTGAGGTGGGTCCAGAGAGAGACAGACAGAGACAGAGAGAAGGATAGAGAGAGACAGAGAAACAGACATAAAATAGAGAAACAGAATGACAGAAATGGAGAGAGAGAAAGAGACACAAAGAGAGACAGAGACATAGAAATGGAGACAGAGAGAGAGAGAGAGACAGACAGAGACAGAGAGGTGCCAGCCAGGTATTGAGTGCGCGTTCACCATGCACCTCCATGCTGTTGACCTAGTAATTGTGACAACTGGGACCCCCAGTCTTTCTCTTCTGCCCTTGATAAAATGAATCCCGAAGTGGGGTGCAACCTTGCAGATGGGGGAAAGAAGTGGGGAGCTCCCCAGGCTGCTCCATGCAGCACAGGCTGGCAGCATCCGAATCGCCGAGTGATTAATAGACGTGCTGTAAGTAACTTACATCTCTGGGTTAAACGATTAACCAGAAATGGAACAACATCATTACATCATTCCCTTTGTCAGGCCTTTGGGTTGGCAGAATGAGCTCCTGGGTGGCCGGGTGCCTTGTCATGCTTCAGAGGCGTTTTGGGCACTCGGTCCTTTATCTCAGGACAATGAACCCGCAAGGAGAGGAAGAGCCAGTAATTCTATAGAGACTCGGAGGCGCAGGGGGCACGCTTAGTTAGAGTGGTGGTGGTATTTTCAGTGTTTTCTGGTTTTATGATAAACACAAGCATCAATGTCTCAAGACTTTCATCTTTATCTTTTTTTTTTTTTTCTTGAGACAGGGTTTCCCTCTGTCACCCAGGCTGGAGTGCATTGGTGGTGTGATCTTGGCTTTCTGTAACCTCGGGCTTCTGGGCTCAAGCCGTTCTACTACCTCAGCCTCCCAAATAGCTAGAACTACAAGCGTGTGCTGCCACACCTGGCTAATTTGTTGTATTTTATTTATTCATTTATTTTTGTGAAGACAAGGTCTTGCCATGTTGCCCAGGCTGGTCTCAGACTCCTGGGCTCAAGCAATCCACCCACCTTAGTCTCCCAAAGTGCTGGGATTACAGGCGTGAGCCACCACACCCAGCTTCATCTTTCTCTTCACCGTAAAACAGGAAAGTGTGTGGTGACCAGTATTTTAAGGGAAAGGCACTTACAGAGAATTAAGCATTTGACAAAATTTATTTACAGATATTTGTCTGTGGACCACTTCCGCACCAGCTGTGCATGAGAGGGCTCATTGCTCTGAATTTGCCTCCTTGTCTGCACCCAGGAGACCGTTTCCCAGATCACGCAAACGCTGCCTTCTCCCCACACCAGGGCCCTCAGCATGGGAATGACCTTCCAGCGCTGCACGTTTCCAATCCATGCTCTGTTTTTCAGTTCTGGCTCACAGAGGACTGCTGGTTGCAAGCAAACTTGTATCTGGGTCTTCAAGATTTTGACTTTGAGGACCAGAGGCCCTATTGCTTCAGCATCGTGGCCGGCCATGGGAAGAGCCATGTTTTCAACGTGGAGCTTGGCAGCGAGCTGGCCATGTGGGAGAAGTCCTTCCAAAGAGCCACGTTCATGGAAGTTCAGAGAACCGGGGTAAGTGAACAACTCACACTCTTCTCACCTACACCTGCTCGGGTGTCTGAGACATAGCATTGGGGAATATGTAGCAGTTTATCGGGGGAAAAGAGGAATCTTCAGAAGGTGAGAATCTTTCACCGGAGCTACTGTGTGGAAATGATCGTTCGCACGGAGTCATGCGCTCCGTGGATAAATATGAGCTGTAGTGGAAGGGAAGGGGAGGAGAGGATTTTGTGTCTGTGTCTACATTGAATGTGAGGAACGGGCTGCATCGCTTTCCAGGAAGGGACTCCACCGATGTGGCGCTCAAGTTCCTGAGAAGTGATGACACTTCTAGCCTGTGCTCCGGGAGACAGAACACCTAGCTTACAAATGAGTATAATGTGTCGTGCAGTTACTTGGATGTTTGTAATATTTTAAGGCACTTTAATGGTTCTTCCTCTCAAACTTGATGGTCCGAAGGAGAATATAAAACAGCTTGTGTGTCTGAATTGCTTTTCTCTTCCTGACAACAGCAAATACATCACTCACAAATTTGAATGTATACCATGTGAAGGGATGAGGAAGAATGCATTATAATCCTCCTTATCCTAAATAGCGGGATGATCCTTCAGGGAGGATGTGTGCTGCAGGAATGAAGAGTGACAGGAGATAAATGAGGCAGCGCATCCCAGAGGAGCTCTGACTTCACACCAAAGTCCAGGGCTCCCGCCTGGCTGAGCGCGGAGAATGCTGAGTGTGAACTTAGTAACTAAAGATGGCTACTTCATTTAAATATACATATATACCTTGAATGTGAAACTATTCTGTGTTATTTATCTTTCATTCACGTTGTCAAAATGTATCCAGGCTCCTTGGCATGCCATCACAGAGCACGAAGCTTCCCTGTAACTAATGCACACTGAGATCTCTTAGTCCACAGAATGAAGTCACACCCAGATCTTCATAGAAACTGATGCCAATGTTTATTCTCATTTATCCCAGGCTGCTGTGATTTTCCCCTCAAATTGGGCACCCTAAATTGGAATTATGGTTGATTCCTGATGCTTAAAGTAACCTTTATATTTGAAGCATCCAATTCATTAACCATTATAGAACATTACATGCTGGAAAGAAAATTACTAAACATAGGATCCTTCATCTCAGGGACTTACTCAAATGTATAGTGGCATTTAGCCACTTAGAAACCATCAGCACTAAAGGTTCAAGTCGTTAAAAGGCAAAGTGAAAGAGCGTTTCTGGGACAAGGTGACCTTTCTGCTTGTTTTCTTTAGATGATAGCAGTAATCATTTTGCTTTCAACATAAATACCGGAGAAGTAGAGAGAATTCTCCATTCGCGTGTGTGTGCAGGGCTGCCCCACACCCTCTAGTGCCCCAGGGCCCATGCCTGGCTGAGCAGAGTCCCGGTGGCCATTCAGACTCATCTATGGGAAGGTGACAGGTTACAGGAGAAGATATCCTGAATAAGAGCAATCATAGAATTACAGTGTTGGAGGGAGGGTGAAAGGTTAGTAATTTCATCTAGTACCCAGATGTAGTGAAATGAATGTCTGAAGCATTCTAGAGGGTGAAAGTTTATTTAGGATTCCTAAAAAATAGAATTTCTTTATGAATAGTCCTTCCTTATGTTTCGTACTGTCCTTATTCCACTAAAGGGGGTGAAGTCTGCGCACGGTGGTTCATGCCTGTAATCCTAGCCCTTCTGGAGGCTAAGAAAAGAGGATCCCTTGAGCCTCAGAATTAGAGACCAGCCCAGGCAACCAAGCCCAAGAAACCTAGAAGCCCCATCTCTGCAAAAAATAATAATAAAATATTAGCCAGGCATGGTAGCTGATGCCTGTAGTTCCAGCTACTCAGAAGGCTGAGTGGGGAGGATCTCTTAGGTCCAAGAGTTTGAGGCTGCAGTGAGCTATGATGGCACCACTGCACTCCAGCCTGGGCCACAGAGTGAGACCCTGTCTCAAAAAAAAAGGTATAGGGTAGGGTGGGAGTGGGGTCAGAGCTGGGGTTGGACTTTAATGGTCAGGACATCTTTCCTAGAGGAAGTGGTTAGTCTCTTTTAAAAATCGTTGGTGTCTTGCACAGGTGGAGAAGAGAAGGCATTCCCAGTGGGAAGCATTGAAAAATTAGGCTAATGCTCCATTTGGCAGAATGAAAGATCTAAGATTCAGGCTAGGACTCAGCAGGCAGCAATGTGCCCAGGTGAATTTTAGAGGAAACATTTTCAATAATCCAGGATTGAGATAATGAAGACCTTTCGTGGGGAATGGAGGCAATGAGGGTGTTAACAAGCCGGCACACCTGCAGAGACTGTAAGTGGGTGTGGGCATCCATCCACGTTTCTGCAGGACTGGGTAGAGTGGGGCTGTGGGGGCCGTGATGACCACTGTTGGGAAGAACTTCTGGGGCCGTGCCATGCTGCCCATGACTGACTTGCCGGATCTTCACAACTCAGCAAAGTGGATGCCCTCAAAGAAGCCCCGGGTGGATGCTTCCTTGTGCAGGGTGGCAAGGTCATGCAAGACCTCTCAGGGCATTGAATTCCCAATTTACGCCTCACTCAGGACCTGTGTTTCAGGAACCCACCCTGCAGGCATTTCCTGAGCTCCACCCCAGGTAGTGACCTGACTCCTATCAGATCTGCCCATGGTGTCCTGGGAGGGACAAAGCATTTCAAAATTAGATGGACTCACTCCCTCTTCATGAATTAGAGAAAATACTTCTCCAAAACTCCATTACATAAACTGTAAATTATTATAACTCATCATGGAGTACTTATAAAATTATATTACATTTAGTAATATCTGTAAATGAATTAAGTCAAACGCCTAATACTCTATACTAGGCTGGATGCATTGCACGTACATCATTTAACTTTTTTAATACATCTAAGATGCAGTTGTTCTTTTCTTTTCCCTTTTATTTTACAAATGGTAAATGAAAGTTCAGAAGGGCTATGTTACTTCTCCACAGTCACCTAGAGACTAAACCACAATGGCAGGATCTACGCAAGATTTCAAGAATTGCTGTCTTGAGAGTCACGTTCTTTCTGCTGAAACATTCAGCCTCACATGTGACAGAAACAAAATAGTGAGAAGGTGCCTAGAACAGTCCCCGGCATACTTCAAACTCTCCGTAAATGTGTTCTTCTTGATTCAGTAGCACTGCTGGATTTCTTTTCTCCACCTTCTGTCTCTGTTTTGCTTGTTTTGCTAGTTTTTTCTACTATTTCCTGACTTTGATCGTATTCCAACCCGACTTGCAATTTTAAATCTCCAGAATAATTACATGTGTATAGTGTTGATAGCACTGATTTTTCTTTACTAATTGTAACACTTTTCCAGCAGTGATTAGCGTGTTCATTCCTTCTCTAAAAGGATTTCTGAAAGGAAAGCCCTGCATCCTTCACAGGCTCTGGATCTAAACTGATGACATTCCTTCACAGTCGTTTCTGAATGCACCTATGTGAGGTCAGTACATTTTACAGAAAAGTTCTCCATCATCAGGATAGTAGCTTCATGCAAGTCCTTGACTGCCTTATCAACATTATTACTCTCTTAAATAATATCTACATTACAAATATCGTTCCAAGTTATCCAGAATTCAGTGTCACACACATGCATAAGAGAATAACAGACCTTCCATGTTCCAGCCTCTCCATCCCTGCCTCCCAAGCTGAGGTACAAATGCCAATATTATGTTATATAATCTTCAAACTGTTTTTACACATACTCAAGTATATTTTTTCCTTTTTATTGAAAAGTCATCACATATGCATGTTGTTCTGCAATTTACAAGACTTTTGTACATTTTCATGTCAATTTATCTAAATTTGTATGTCAATTTATTTAAATTCTAACAGGACATTGCAATGTCCTGTTAGAATTTAAAATTAAAAATGTATATCTTTCCTAATAGCAACACAAAAACACAAAGTATAAAATATCTATCAGATAGGATGCCTTTGGCTACAAGTAAGAGAAAGTTCTTGACTCACCCAACAATAAACAATACCTATTGTTGCTATTATTTTCCATAACAAGGTTTCCATACTCCACCTTGCTGAGTTTTGAGGTCTAGATTGTGCCTCGGTGTGGCTCCCCTCCCAGTCATAAGATGCTTGTGGAAGCAACAAGCATTCATGTCGGTGTTCAGGGGAGGCAGAAAATGGCCTCCATAACCCATTGAGGATGTCCCCTTCAGCCTAGCTGTGCCAGCCTAGGTCATGAGCCCATCAGACCAAAGTACTCGTCTAGGGAATGCCATTGGCTGATTGGCTTCTCATCAAGGGAACACCATTGGCTAATTGGCTTCTCATCAAGGGAATGCCATTGGCTGATTGGCTTCTCGTCAAGGAAACACCATTGGCTGATTGGCTTCTCGTCAAGGGAACGCTATTGGATGATTGGCTTCTGTGAACCAACATCCACCCTGGGGACTGGAAATGAAGTCAGCAACGGTCCCAACCTTTATGGTGCCAGGGACCGGTTTTGTGAATGACAGTTTTTCCACGGACAGGGCCAGGGGGATGGTTTGGGGATGATTCAAGCACATTACATTTATTGTGCACTTTATTTCTATTATTATTACATTGCAATCTGTAATGAAATAATTATACAACCCGCCATAATGCAGAATCAGTGAGGTCCCTGAGTTTGTGTTCCTGCAACTAGACGGTCCCATCTGGGGGGATGGGAGACAGTGAAAGATCCTCAGGCATTAGGTTCTCATAAGGAGTGTGCCACCGAGATCCCTCACAGGTGCAGTTCACAATAGGGTTCCCGCTCCTGTGAGAATCTAATACTTCTGCTCATCTGACAGGAGGCAGAGGTCAGGTGGTAATGCTCACTAACCCAGCTCCTGCTGTGAGGCCCAGTTCCTAACAGGCCACAGACTGGTACTGGTAAAAAAAAAAAAAAAAAAAAAAGGATTCTGTTAGGACATCCCAGGAGCAGGTGTAGAAAGGACATCCCAGGAAACAGGTACAGAAAGGACACCCCAGGGAACAGGTGTAGAAAGGATATCCCAGGGAGCAGGTGTAGAAAGGACACCCCAGGGAACAGGTGTAGAAAGGACACCCCAGGGAAAAAGTGTAGAAAGGACATCCCAGGGAGCGGGTGTAGAAAGGACACCCCAGGGAGCGGGTGCAGAAAGGACACCCCAGGGAGCGGGTGCAGAAAGGACACCCCAGGGAGCGGGTGCAGAAAGGACACCCCAGGGAGCGGGTGCAGAAAGGACACCCCAGGGAGCGGGTGCAGAAAGGGCATCCCAGGGAAGAGGTGTAGAAAGGACATCCCACGGAGAAGGTGCAGAACTGGAGGACAACAGTGTCTCCTGCGGTGCCTGAACAAAAAGCATTCTCATCAAATTCAGCTTTCTCCTTTGCAAGACAGTTTCACGAGATCACGTTTATGAAATTTTCCTAGGTCTGTGTGTGCTATACGGATGCGCACCATCACCATCACCGCGCAGTGGGTCTCCTGTTAGAGGAGCCGGTCACGCACGGTGCTCCGTGGATTTTCCACTGCCAAGTCCTGACGAGCACGCCCCTGCCTGCCCGCCTCGGGGAACGGGACCTCACTGAGGCAAACCAAGCTGTCATCCTTCCACACAGCTCCCTTGGTAGGAGCATTCTCCCTAATGGGCCCGTCTTTCCCTCCTGCTCCATTTCTGGACTTAGGTTTGCTCTCTGGTCTGAGCTGCTCTCACAGAACACCAATCTCTTCTGCCTGTTTCCAAGTTTCAGAAATTTTTCTGATAATTTCTCCTTTTTGTTTATAAAGACTCCCCAAAGACTATTCTTGTTCACACACAGGTTAATATTCTGGTATTAGTAGTTGCTTGATATCAGGTGCAACAGAATTTTAAGCAAATCAAGGTGGCTCTGTGATTCATTAATGCCTTTACCACTCCTACCGTACTATCAAGACAAGCACAGCCAAAAAGAGATTCTGTGTATGGCAGATGTGCAAAGGCAATTCAGTGGAGAAAGGAAAGCCTTCTGGACAAATTATGCTGGGATAATTGGATGCCTATATACGAAAAAAAGAACTTTGACTCATTATATACATAAATATTATATATATATATATAAGTATAAACTCAAAATGAATATAGAATGAAATATAAGTACAAAACTATAAAACTTTTAGAAGAATAAACAGCA